>NC_000006.12:103555638-103707153 GCF_000001405.40 Homo sapiens
CTGAGACTTTGTGTAGCAGTAGGAGTTTGCAAATGCCTTTTTACTCAAATGTCAAGGTTTTTAAAGCTGTAAAATCATTGCTTCAGATTTCATTTGCTTGAGTTTGTGAATATATTATTTCACATTTTTAGGGGATAAAGTGCCAAAGCGTTTGATGATCTGTTTTTTTTTCTTTTGTAAATCACATGCCCATTGCAGCAATGCTCAAATCATTTTTTCAATCCTAGTAGTTACTGAAATATATCTTGGTGTTGGTTGTTCTGGATAGACATTCTGAAATTTAAGGTGTGTTTGTTCAATATGTAGTGTCAATTTCTTTCTATTATCATCAATTTTTGTTTGTTTTTTCATATTTTTTCTCTTAAGGCATTATTTGTTATGTTGATTTGCTATTTTGGTTCTTCTCATTTAATCTTCATGTCTAAAATGATTTTTTTCTTTCATTTCAAATGATCTCTTGAACCACATCACCTCATTCCTGAGTGTTTTCCCAATTCTGATATAATTTGTTCACTCAGGTCTTGTATTATTTTCTTAAGATCATTCAGTTTATTTTGAAATTTTTTTGACATATTAGGGTTTTGATTTGCTTATGAACATATATCTCATTACCTGTGTGATGTCATTTATAATCTCTTTTTTTCCTGTGGAAACATTACATGGGATATGATGCTAATACTTTGTTGCTCATTTCAGCCGTAGGCTTGGTTCATATAGCTTTTACTACTTCACAGAATCTCCTTTCTATTATTTTTGTACAGCCATAAAAATTATGGCACCTTGCTTTCTGATTTTCCTTGTTTACTCTGTTCCTTTACCCCAACTTTCTCCCACTAATTTTTCTTTAGTGTAGGACGCTTTGTTTGGAAGAGATCCTGAGTGAATCCATTTTGAGAGTTCATAGAAATTAAGCTGCTTCAGACTCTTTTTTTTAAAAATTTCATTATTATACTTTAAGTTTTAGGGTACATGTGCACAATGCGCAGGTTAGTTACATATGTATACATGTGACATGCTGGTGTGCTGCACCCACTAACTCGTCATCTAGCATTAGGTATATCTCCCAATGCTATCCCTCCCCCCTTCCCCCCACCCCACAACAGTCCCCAGAGTGTGATGGTCCCCTTCCTGTGTCCATGTGTTCTCATTGTTCAATTCCCACCCATGAGTGAGAATATGCGGTGTTTGGTTTTTTGTTCTTGCAATAGTTTACTGAGAATGATGATTTCCAATTTCATCCATGTCCCTACAAAGGACACGAACTCATCATTTTTTATGGCTGCATAGTATTCCATGGTGTCTATGTGCCACATTTTCTTAATCCAGTCTCTCATTGTTGGACATTTGGGTTGGTTCCAAGTCTTTGCTATTGTGAATAGTGCCACAATAAACATATGTGTTCATGTGTCTTTATAGTAGAATGATTTATAGTCCTTTGGGTATATACCCAGTAATGGGATGGCTGGGTCAAATGGTATTTCTAGTTCTAGATCCCTGAGGAATCGCCACACTGACTTCCACAATGGTTGAACTAGTTTACAGTCCCACCAACAGTGTAAAAGTGTTCCTATTTCTCCACATCCTCTCCAGCACCTGTTGTTTCCTGACTTTTTAATGATTGCCATTCTAACTGGTGTGAGATGATATCTCATTGTGGTTTTGATTTGCATTTTTCTGATGGCCAGTGATGGTGAGCATTTTTTCATGTGTTTTTTGGCTGCATAAATGTCTTCTTTTGAGAAGTGTCTGTTCATGTCCTTTGCCCACTTTTTGATGGGGTTGTTTGTTTTTTTCTTGTAAATTTGTTTGAGTTCATTGTAGATTCTGTATATTAGCCCTTTGTCAGATGAGTAGGTTGGGAAAATTTTCTCCCGTTTTGTGGGTTTCCTGTTTACTCTGATGGTAGTTTCTTTTGTTGTGCAGAAGCTCTTTAGTTTAATTAGATCCCATTTGTCAATTTTGGCTTTTGTTGCCATTGCTTTTGGATAAGCAACTTCAGCAAAGTCTCAGGATACAAAATCAATGTACAAAAATCACAAGCATTCTTATACACCAATAACAGACAGAGAGCTAAATCATGAGTGAACTCCCATTCACAATTGCTTCAAAGAGAATAAAATACCTAGGAATCCACCTTACAAGGGACGTGAAGGTCCTCTTCAAGGAGAACTACAAACCACCGCTCAATGAAATTAAAGAGGATACAAACAAATGGAAGAACATTCCATGCTCATGGGTAGGAAGAATCAATATCGTGAAAATGGCCATACTGCCCAAGGTAATTTATAGATTCAATGCCATCCCCATCAAGCTACCAATGACTTTCTTCACAGAATTGGAAAAAACTACTTTAAAGTTCATATGGAACCAAAAAAGAGCCCACATTGCCAAGTCAATCCTAAGCCAAAAGAACAAAGCTGGAGGCATCATGCTACCTGACTTCAAACTATACTACAAGGCTACAGTAACCAAAACAGCATGGTACTGGTACCAAAACAGAGATATAGATCAATGGAACAGAACAGAGCCCTCAGAAATAATGCCGCATATCTACAACTATCTGATCTTTGACAAACCTGAGAAAAACAAGCAATGGGGAAAGGATTCCCTATTTAATAAATGGTGGTGGGAAAACTGGCTAGCCATATGTAGAAAGCTGAAACTGGATCCCTTCCTTGCACCTTATACAAAAATCAATTCAAGATGGATTAAATACTTAAATGTTAGACCTAAAACCATAAAAACCCTAGAAGAAAACATAGGCATTACCATTCAGGACATAGGCACGGGCAAGGACTTCATGCTTCAGACTTTTAATACCTAACACAGACCCTCTGCTTTTCTTCGCTACTGGAACAAGCAACCCGCCATCTAAGTGGAGCCAGTGTTCTCAAATTCTTTCACCAAGTATTCCTGTGAACATCTCTGGACTATTTTTGGAATCTCCTTTCTTCAGGTCTGTCAATTATCCCTCCGTTTTCTCTTTTGCCTGTTCCAATAGCATGCCATACCTACGGCTATAGCTGCTGGCATTTTGAAGTTCATAGGGCCAGCTGATCACTAATCTTTACATGTAAATGCTGTCCATCAGGTTTTTGTTGTTGGTTTTGGTGTTTTGATTGTTTAGCTTTTGCTATCTAGTTGCTTAGTATGTTTTTATGTGAACATTTGGAAAGATAAACAAACCGTACTGTCATCGACACTAATGTCTCAGAATCTTTGCCTTAAATGTTTAAGTAGGTGATTTTTCAATTTAATTTATGGATATAAAATGCCTTTAAGTATCCACTTAAAATCTAGCTTTTCACTGATTTCAAGTAATCGTAAGTTTAGCCTTGTGGAAACTTTTCCGTTTAAATCTAAGTAAAAACTTGGAGAACGAGCAAACCCATACAATACTTTTAAAATAAGAAATTCAAGCACAGAATCGAGGATGAAGCAGTACATATATTTTTTCCTATTTTAACCTCAGTGGGTTACTAAAAGCAGCAGTGCCTTTGCAATCAACCTTTTCTTCCCCCAGAAGAAGTGTATGAAGACAAAATGATAACCCCTGAGTTTCTGTACATCTTTCTGCTCCAGGAAGGGTTGTAACTCATCCCTTAAGGGGCTTGGCAAACTCTAGTTGCTTATCAGACATAGACTTCTTCCATCCCAAAGAACAAAGGAGAAAGGAGGTATACATATATCTTCCCAATCTTCCTATTTTAGATACAGATAATGAACCCTAAGAATCAAGGATTGGACTCTGGTGCATCAAGCAGTACTGTGCTAAAATGACCCTGGAAAATACATTACTTTTTATTGCCTAGGCAAAAATCTCTCCAGGCCAGATATCCTCCCTTCTCCTACTGTGTGTCCAATGTATCCAAGATCCCTAAGTGCTGGGCATCAGACTTTCCTAAAATCCTTATGAAAATTTGCACATGCTGATTTAGGCTACCTGGTACTAAGCAGATTACTTATTCTCCCTCTGACAACATTGCTTTCCTATTTGCCCTAGAAGAAAGAAATATGGGACAGAGTTCTTTCTCTGAGGTATATAGGTGTGGCATGTCCAGCAAAATACACTGAACCTAGCACATAGTGACAACAGGGAGATAATAGCACATTTTCACTCACTGCTGATCTTAGCATCTAAGTTTCCACGACAAAGCCTATTCCTTAAACAATGGAATGTGTGGATTTTGCCTTAAGCTCTGCTCTGCTGGATAACAAGTGTCAGCTGCAAAAAGACCCATGTCTGTCATACTGTAAACACTCAAAATAAAATAAAAAGCATCATTAAAGTATTTAGCCAATCTCTTTGCACATCAAAAGTGCTCCATATATTTTAGTTCTGAGTTTACTTATGCTCCAGGTATAAAATTATCATCATTTGAACTGAAACTTTATGATGAATTTCTAATAAACTAATTTTAGAGAAGTTTTAGGTTCACAGAAAAACTGAGTGAAAAACACAGCGATTTAGCATATCCTCCAGCCTCCCACCCCAAATTTCACATTATCAACATCTCTTACCAGAGGAGCATATTTGTTACAATCAATGAGCCTATATTAATACATCATAACGCAAAGTTCACATTTGGGTTCACTTTTGGTACATTCTATGGGTTTTGACAAAAGTATGACATATATCCTCCATTAAAGTAACATACAAAATATTTCACTATCTTAACAGTTCTCTGTGCTCTGCCTGTAGGTCCCTCCCTCCAAGCTTAGCCCTGACAACCACCCATCTTTTTTTACTGATGCCATAGTCTTGCCTTTTCCAGAATGTCATATAGTTGGAATCATACAGTATGAACACTTTTCAGTTTTGTTTCTTTTTTTAGTAATATGCGTTTATGGTTTCTCCATCTTTTCAGAGCTTGATAATTTATTTTTAGTGCCAAATAACATTTCATTTTCTACGTGTAACACCATTTATTTACCCATACACCTATTGAAGGACATTTAGTTGCTTTGAAGTTTTGGCAATTATGAATAAAGCTGCTATAAATATCCATGTGCAGGTTTTGTGTGGAATACATTTTCATCTTTTTGGGGTAAATACCAAAGTGCATGTTTGCTAGATTGTATTATAAGGGGGATGTTTAGTTTTGTAAGAAACTGCCAAAATGTCTTCCACAGATTGTAACATTGCATTCCCCCCAGCAATGAATGAGAATTACTGCTCCACAACTTCACTAGAAGTTGATATTGTTAGTGTTCTGGATTTGGGCCGTTCTAATAGGTGTGCAGTGGTCTCGTTATTGTTTTAATTTGCATTTTCCCAATGACATATAACACGGAGCATCTTTTTGTATCCTTATTTGCCATGTCTTCTTCATGTTGTATCTGTTCCGGTCTTTGGCCTAGTTTTTAATTGAGTTGTTTGTATTCTTATTAAGTTATTTTTTATGTTTTTGTAGAGATGAGATGTCACTATGTTGCCCAGGCTGGCCTCAAACTCCTGGCCTCAAGCAGTCTTCCTGCTTCAGCCTTCTAAAGTGTTGGGATTACAGGTGAGCCACAATGGCTGACTTCTTATTGTTAAATTTTAACAGTTGTTTGCGTATTTTGAATAATAGTTTTTTTTTTATCAGATGTGTCTTTTACAAATATTTTCTCCCAATTTGTAACTTGTTTCATTCTCTTGACATTGTCTTTCACAGAGCAGAAATTTTTAATTTTACTGAATCCTGGCTTATCAATTATTTTTTTCATGGATGTGCCTCTGATGTTATACCTAATAATAATCACCATACCCAGGGTCATCTAGGCTTCAAACTTGTAGAAGTTTGACAGTTTTGTGTTTTACATGTAGGTCTATAATTCATTTTGAGTTATGTATTGTAAAGTATGTGCGACGTGTCTAAATTTTTTTTTTTTGCATGTAGACATCCAATTGAATTGCTTTACCTTCTCTGTCAAAAATCAGCTGACTACATTTCTGTGAATCTATTTCTTGATTCTTTCTTCTGTTCTATTGGTCTATTTGTTTTGTCACCAATACCACACTATTTTGGTTACTATAGCTATATAGTAAATCTTGAAGTCAGATAGTGTCAGTCCTTTGTTCTTCCCCTTCAATACTGTGTTGGCTATTCTGGGTCTTTTGCTTCTCTGGAATATGGTAATAATCTGTAATAATCATCCCCAGGTAGCCTACATAATAGTGTGGAGATAGAGAATTAAACATGTTCTGTCTCATTTCATTACAGCTAACTTCAGTGTTAAGAAATGACTAGATATTTTTCTGCTTTGCTGATGGAGGCAGCAGAGCTAAGAAATAAAGGAAAAATGATAATAACACCATGATTTTTCCTAAATAAAGTATTTTTCTTATGTTGATCAAGTTTGACTTTAACATTCCTTAATTCAGAAACTCTGTCTAGTTATTTAAGTTGTAACTGCTTGGAATGCAGTCTCAACAGTTATCACATGATGATGTATTGTTCATAAGCAGGACTTTTGACTCATCACAGATACTATGCTAGCTGTAGGATTTTTGTAGATATTCTTTATCAAGTTGAGGAAGTTCTCCACTATTCCTAGGTTACTGGGAGTTTTTATAAATGGGTGTTGAATTTTTTCAAGTGCTTTTTTTTTGCATCTATTGAAATAGTCATGTGATTGTTTTAGGGTGTTGATGTGATTAATTTCATTAGTATTTGAATTTTGAACCAGCCTTATAAGTCTGAGACAATACTACTTTGGATCTATGTTAATGAGAGATTTTGGTCTGTAGCTTTTTTACTTTTTAAAAGTTTTTGTTGGTATATAATAGTTGGACATATATTGGGGGTACATGTGATATTTTAATACATATATGCAATGTGTATTGCTCAAATCAAGGTAATTTAAATAGTCATCACCTCAACATTTATCTTTTCCTGGTGTTGAGAATGTTACAACTCTTCTTTTCTAGCTGTTTTGAAATATATAATAATTATTAACTGTATTTCTGTACCATACTGTAGAATACTAGAACTTATTTTCTATCTAACTCTTATCTTTGTACACCTTAACATATTCCTCTTTATTATCTCTACTTCCCTTCCCAGCCTCTGGAAACTACCATTGTATTATCTACCTTCATGAGATATTTTCTTGTGATGTCTTTTCTGATTTGGGTATAATGGGAATACTGTCCTCATGGAATGCATTAAGAAGTAGTCTCTGCTTCTGTCTTCTGAAAGACATTGTAAAAATTGGTGTAATTTCTGCTTTAAAGATTTGTTAAAATTCATCAGTAAGCCCACCTGTCTTCTTTTTTCTATTTTTTAGTATTATTAAATATTTATTCAATTTCTGTAATAGGTATGGGACTATTTAGATTTTCCACTTCATGTTCTGCATATACAAGTCAAAAATTAATTTTAAAAAATAAATTGCCTGTTTCTTTCTGTGTGCCTGTGTGAGTTTTGGCAGATTGTATCTTTCAATGAATTGGTGGATTTCTTAGAGCTTATCAAATTTGGGAGCATAAAACTGTGATAGTTTTTTTTTATTATCATCGTAATGTCCATACAATCTGCAGTGAAGTCCCCTAACTACCCTCTTTTATTTCTGTTATTAGTAATTTGTAATTTCTATCTTTATTTTATTTTATTTTATTTTTTAGCTACCCTGGCTATATATGTGTATTTTTTTTTTTTTTTGATAGAATTTCACTCTGTCATGAGACTGGAGTGCAATGGCATGATCTCAGCTCACTGAAACCTCTGCCTCCTGGGTTCAAGCGATTCTCCGGCCTCAGCCTCCTGAGTAGCTGGGATTACAGGCATGCACAACCAAGACCAGCTAATTTTGTATTTTTAGTAGAGACGGGGTTTCATCATGTTGGCCAGACTGGTCTTGAACTCCTGACCTCAGATGATCCGCCCACCTTGGCCTCCCAAAGTGCTGGGATTACAGGAGTCAGCTACCTCTCATGGCCTATAATGTATGTTTAAAAAACATAATCCACCATCCTTGTTAGTGAAATGTCATTACCCAAACCCTTTTTTTTCTCTATTAAAGGTCTTGCTTTGGGGGAAAAAAAAATCTGGTCTATAATGACAGAACACATATGCGAATTTAATTTTTTTAAGCTGAATCAAGGTGTCATTTCATTACCGTGAGACTGTCTTCCTTCTATAATTTAGGAATTTAGTTTTTTTTAACCTAGGAAATATAAAATTGGTTTTCTGTCAATGTTTGAATTTAGTCAATGATGCATTCATTCATTTACTTAATCATAAGTAATAATGAAGCACATTGTAGTATGCACTGTGCTGATTTCTGGAATATAGTAACAAATACACAATTCTCACACAACCTGCGTAATAGTGGGGAGATAGAGAATTAAACATGGTCTATCTCATTTCATTAAAGGTAACTTCAGATTTATGAAAAAAGACTTGCTATTGTTCTACTTTGAAGATGGAGCAGCAGAGCTAAGAAATAAAGGAAAACTAATAACAATACCACGATTTTTTCTAAATGAAGAATTGCTTTTCCATTAATCAAGTTTCATTTTATTAATTCCTTAATTCAGAATCTAAATTTAGGCTGGGCACACTGGCTCACACTTATAATCTCAGCACTTTGGGAGGCTGAGTTCGATCACTTGAGGCCAGAAGTTTGAGACCACCCTGTGCAACAAAGCAAGATCCCGACTCTATATATAAAAATATAATTTTAAAAAGTAGGTAGGTGTAGTGGCATGTACCTGTAGTCATAGCTATGCAGAGATAGGAAGAGTGCTTGAACCAAGGAGTTGGAGGCTCCAGTGAGCTATGACCATGCTGCTGTACTCCAGCTTGGACAACCAACTGTAATCCTGTCAAAAGAAAGAAAGAATTTTTATGTCAAACCTGTTGCTCAAAAGTTGACATTTTTTTTTAAACTATACATAAAGTGGGTCTCTACTACTTTTTTTGTAAAGTCTACCATGATGATAAAATCAGTGAGCTTCCGATATTTTCATGTGTTGTAAGTGGGAAAAATAATCTGTGTAGATACATCTTGCTTTTGAAGAGTCAGAAAGATATTGTTAGGCAGTCAAAGCAGATAATTACCTCACTTGAAAGTTCGCAAGGCTTTCCCTAGAAGTAGCTATAATTTGCCAACAGCCACTGCTTCCAGTCCTCCTTTTCAACCTCATTCTCATACAACCTTAGCTATCTAGATGAATATTTTTCAATGACTTCATTTCAACTTCTTAGAACTTTCTGGGACCTAGATAATTACATACTATCTACTGCAGATATAAATATATGTAAACCTCCAGATATAAACCACTGAAGTCCAATGTGGATGAGACCTCTTCTTCCTCATCACAGCAAACAGAGTGATATTCTCAACAGCTAATGCTGAATGTATTAATCAGCATTACCTCCAGTGGGGCATTCCCATTTAATTTGTAATAAAATCTAAGTTCTGAAAATAAAAGACTCTGCAGGCTGAATCAATCTAGAGATCCAGACACACAAATCCATGCTTTCCCCAGATCATTTCTAAACAACTCATGTTGAGAATCTCTGAAAACCTAGGAAATGTAAAACCAAGAAGACTGAGTTTAGAAATTTATTTCAAACTTTGACTAGTAGTAATATCTTGAATATACTTGAATAATGAAATTAAGAGTGGAATGTGAGCCAATACATTTGAGTTCTAGACCTGGAAAGAGCACTAATTTATTATCTGTGTGAGATTAGGCAGTTTATTTTATTTTTCTGCACCTAAATGTGTTCCTCTGTAAAATGAAGGTTTGCCTCTGGAGTACTTTCTTTCTCCATCATGCAAGAGCATCAGTATGGAGAACAATCCTTCAGAACTAAGGTATTCACAGTAGGAGTTCCTTAGGGTGTCTATGAGTTATGATACTTTAGCAACTGAAAAAACATTGGTACAGTAAAAGCATCAAATTTAAGGAACTGCTTATATACTGCAAGCAGTGTTAGAGAAAGAATAATAAGTTGTAAAAACACATAAACAATGCCTCTTCTGTATGATCTAATGCAATGACTTGGCTTGAACAAAACCAAATTTCTTCACCTCCCATGAGAATTTCTGACATTACTTATATACATGAATAGAAATTTCTCATCTTTATACATGTGAGATAACTTTTTTCAAGTTTCAAGAAATATACATGTGGGCTAGTATGCCAGGGATCCTTATATCTATCATACTATGTTGGCATTCAAAAACATAGAAAAGCTGGAAATATCAAAGGGAATAGGCAAACTGCAAAATCACATTTATAATTTTGGATTAGAAGAATAAAGTATAGTTTCTGGGATCATTTAGCCTGACTCCATAAGAGTCTTCATTATACTCCTATCCTAAAATGAATGATTATGATTAATTAAGAAATATTGAGTTTGGACATCATTTTTTCATCACCCACTGAGAATTACAGTACTAAGACATCACCACTAAAGGGTTCATAACTATTAGGAGTAGTAACATTCTAAACAGTATTATCAGGTTATAGAAGAAATTTCTATATATGGAAGGAATTGGAAGTCATCTTCCAATGCTAAGAGATTATTATTATAACTGGAAAAGTGAAGTTTTCTTATCTGATAAAACAGCTTTACACATTAGAAAGCAGGCTGAGGAAAAGAAATGCATGTGTGGAAGAATATTTTGAATAATGAAACATAGAAATAGAGGGTAAGCTACAGGAGAAGATGGAATAGAGAAAAATAGTCATCCTTTCTAAGCAAATGTTGATAAATGTATAAGACAATGAAACAATCTGAAATTGGCATGCAACATGAAGCTGTATTCCAAGCATGAACTCATACTTCAAAAACGTGTTAATAATGTATTAGCCATTTAAATAAAGGAATTTCTCCCCCTTACTTCTCCGTTCCCCCAAAAAGAGTCCTCGTTTGAGCACAAAGAATTACTTGTAGTTGCTTGTTTACTTTTTTCACCATGTTGAGATTTTCCAAGGTCAGCATTACCTTACCTGCTTTTGATCAATGACTGTAATTGTGAATCTATGCACATAGACAGTGCTCAATAAATAGTTGATGATAATGATAATTTTCACTGCTTCTGTTACAACCTAGATTTATTCTCTTTCTTTTTCTATGAGAAGATAAAAATGAGTTCAATATCTCAAGCTGCTTAGAGACCACATTAAATTCCAACTATTCTTCCCATATTCTGTATTTTACTACATGGCCAATTTGTAAAATAGGTTTCTTTCTTACACTATTTTATTAACTTTAATTCACTTTTCAATTTTTCTGTCTCCTCTATTGTCTGGCTTAAAAATAAATGATTCTTTTAACTCTTTTTATTTCACTAGTCTTTAAATTTTACATACTTGTGTATGAAGAATACAGTGACAGGATTAATACTACAATTACTCTGCTTAGAGGGGATTGGTGTGTGTGTGTGTAGGTGTGTGTGTGTGTGTGTTGCATATTCTCAAATAGATATAGCTCTCTTATTTATATAATTTGACATATTAAAAGATAATCAAATGCAAGGTTATAGCCTAATTGGTTTGGAAAGTCAAAGAAAAGAAAATAGTTATGGTACTTTCACAGAGGTTGCATATTCAGAGATGATTACAATTCTGTTTTGCTCTTCCCAGCAATAGCAAAAAGAAAGAAAGCACATGATTCTATGTCAATTGTTACAGTAGGAATTTGCAGTTTAAGAACTACCTAGCGGAAACAAGAATAATTTAATGTGAAAAGCTGCAGAATATAAATATTTCATATAAACCAGTTATGAAGTTGCATTATGCTGATTCTATAAAACCATGCTTGAGAAAGGTTCTACAGAGAGAAACTTACACTTTCAGTCATTCAATATCTTTATAGAATTCTGCCACTGTTGAGTGGCTGCCACCTCTTAAATTTTCGTATGTAAATTCTTTGCTGAGTGCCTTGAAAGCTCTGTTACTTACTACCTTTAATGCATTCTTAAAAGGCAAGTGGTACACAGGGGACGAACTGTGACCTTTTGGTAAGAGGATGACATCTCTTTGTAATATGTTCTTATACCCAGCTGACTTAAAATATGTCATTATAAAAGGGATTTGGCGGTTGTTAAAATTTTGTTAACATATTCATAAAAATAATGGTGAATTATTATTCCATTTACCCATTAAAAAAAGGTTATTCAATTCCCATTTGGTGCTCAGATTTCATGTAATATTGGATAACTTGTATACCTGACAAAACCCAGGAAAGTAAGTATAGTATGCTAGTGTTTTATTGAACAAGCAAAATTTATTTTATATACTTCAATGTTTTATGTATTAGTTTGAGAGTTTAGAATTTGAAGAATCCCTTTAGTTATTCCATTTTATATATCAAGAATAAATGGCTTAAATTTAATGTTTGTGCATGTGTTGTGTTTGTGTGTGTGTTTTGTAACACTGGTTCTGTACTGTTTAGATTCTATGAACATTTATGTTAGAGTTAAAACTTTTCCTGTTTTAATTCTTATTTTAGTAGCATACCAACATAGCTCTAGTGAATCAAGATTAAATACTATCAGGGGAGAAAACTAGATAACAGGGGTAGAATAAATTCACTGTTGGTTACCACTGGTAAGCAATGGAATATAGTCACCACTCTAAAGTTTGATAGCCCAATACTAAAAATTACACCCTAAAAGAACACATTAAAAAAAAAAAACAGCTTATTCCTGGAATGTGTATAGTGAAAGAGTATTTTGTTTTTATATAACTTTAAAAATATTTTTATTACAAAAACAAAATGTGTTTCAGAGAAATTACAGAAACAAGCAAAAGAAAAAGAAGAACAAATAAAAATTTGAATTGTTACCTACAATCATTGTTAAAACCATGTGTGCGTTCAAATTTTGTGTGTGAATTATGCCATATCCATTTTTAAAATATATTTGAGAACATGTCCATGCTTATAGAAATATTTGTGCCACAGAACTTTCTGATATTTAATTGTCTAATACACTACACAGTTTTTCATATCTACTTGTTTCGTTATAATTTCTCATGTACAGAAAAGTTGCAAGACTAGTACAGGAATTCCCATATGCAGTTTACCTGTATTTACTATTGTTCACATTTTAATCTCTTTCCTCTCTGTCTTTCTCTCTCTTTCCTTTTCCTCACTTTCTTGTCTTATATACAAGTTCCTGCATGTGTGTGCACAGGTGCACACACGCACAAATTATTTTACTTTGCTGAACTATTCGAGAATAAGTTGGAGAAACAATGTCTCTTTATCCCGAAATACTTCAGCATCTAGTTCCTAAGAATAAAGACATTCACTTTTATAAATAAAGTGAAGTTTTGAAAATTAAAAAAATTATCAGTGGTGCAAAATTGTTGTCTGAATCATAATCAGTATTTAATTGATTATTCCAACAATTTCTGTTATAACAATCTTTTCTTGAACCAGGATGAAAACCTGGACCAACTCATGATTTCGTTCTCATGGCCCTTTAGTGTTCTTTATTCTAGAATACGTTCTCAACATTTCCTTGTTTCTTGTCATTGACATTTTTGAGAGTTAGGAAAAGATAGTTTGTAGAATGCCCCTTTATCTGAATTTGCATGTTTCCTTGTGATTAAATTTAGATTATACGTTGTGGTCAGGAATAAAATAGAAGTGATCTGTATTTCTACATACATCTTATAAGGAGGCATATGTTGTTATTTTGTTCTAATATTGGTGATTTTTACATTTAATGATTTTTGTGTTATTCTTCAGGTTTCTTCACCATTAAGTTATTACTTTTCTTCTGTAATTAATAATTAATTTAGGAATAGATTATATAATATCATATTCTTCATAAAAAATCTCACCCATGTGTTTTAGCATCTATACTTTCTGTTATTATTAGTTGACATATTTAAGGCAGTTTTTCTATCTCCCCACTTACTTATTTGAATCTATATGGCTCATGGGTATTGTTTTCAATGGGTTTTGTTATTATAATTATTTTTGATGTTATTATTGTCCTGGATTTGACAAATAGAAGTCCCTTCAAGATAGTTCCTGTGTCTATTTGATATGGCCCCATGATTTTTTAATTGACATTTTAATTGAAATAATTCTAGACTCACATAAACTTTTAAGAAATAATACAAAAAGATTACATGTGTCCTTTATTCAGTTTTACCCAGTGGTAACAACTTGCAAAGCTATGGTATACTATCACAACCAAGTTATTTACATTGATATAACCCACCAATTTTATACAGATTTCCTCAGTTTTATTTGTACCTGTTTGTTTGTATATTTACATCTACACAATTATGTCACCTGTATACACTAGTGTACCCAATGCCACAATAAAGATACTGAAAATCCCAACACCACAAGGACCTTGGAGTTCTTTTTTAATTACTGCCACTTTTTCCTTCCTACTTGGTCCCTAGCCTCTGGTCACCACTAAATAATCTGTTCTCCATTTCTTTCTTTCTCTTTTTTTTTCATTTCAAAACTGTTAGGCTGGACGCAGTGGCTCACACCTATAATCCCAGCACTTTGGGAGGCCGAGGCAGGCGGATCACGAGGTCAAGAGATCGAGACCGTCCTGACTAACATGGTGAAACGCCGTCTCTACTAAAAATACAAATATTGGCTGGGCGTGGTGGCGCACACCTGTTGTCCCAGCTATTTGGGAAGCTGAGGCAGGAGAATCGCTTGAACCTGGGAGGCAGAAGTTTCAGTGAGCCAAGATCACTCCACTGCACTCCAGCCTGGTGACAGAGTGAGACTCTGTCTCAAAACAAAACAAAACAAACAAAACAAACAAAACAAAAACTGTTACATAAATGGAATCATACAGTATGTAAAATTGTGGAATTTTTTTTCAATTAAGCATACTTCCTTGGGACTTTATTCAAATTGTTGCCTATATCATTACTACATTCCTTTATGTTGCTGAGTTTTATATATATATATATATCTCAGATTTTAAACCATTCATCTCTTTGTTTGTTTTTTAAAAGAACATCTGGACTCCTTCCAACTGCTGTGAACATGCCTACACAGGTTTTTATGTGAACATCAGTTTCATTTCTCTGAGATGAATACCCAGGATTGCAAATGCTAGATTGAATGGTAATTGCATGTCTAGTTTTACAAGAAAGTGCCAAACGGATTTCCAAATAAAATGTAAAATGCTGTACCATTTTACATTCCCATTAGCAATCCAAGGGTGATTCACGTTCTCTGCATCTTTGCCACAATTTGGTGTCATTACTATTTTTTATTTTAACCATTCTAAAAAGTGTGTAGTGATGTCTCGCTTTGGTTTTAATTTGCATTTCCCTGATGGCTAATGATGTTGAACATCTCTTCATGTGCATATGTGCCATCTGTTTATCCTCTTGGTTTAAACGTCTGTTCATGACTTTCGTTTAAATGTCTGTTCATGTCTTTTGTTCATTTGTATAGGTTGCTTTGCTACTGTTGAGTTTTGAAAGTTCTTTGTATATTCTTGACCCTAGTTTTTGGTCAAATATGTGTTTTATAAATATTTTGTCCAAGTCTATGGCTTGTCTTTTCATCTTTTTTGCATTGGCCTTTACAAAGCTAATTTTTCACTTTTGATGGGTTTTGATTGGTTAATGTTTATTTTTATAGATAATGTGTTTGGTTTCAAGTCAGATTCTTTGCCTAGACCCCAAATATTTTTCCATATTATTATTCTAAAAACTTTATATTTTTTATATCAATAATCCAATTTGAGTTAAATTTTATTTAAGTATAAGATTTGTGACAATTTTCATTTTTTTGGACTATGGAAACTCAGTTATTCCAGTACCATTTGTTGAAAAGGTTATATATTCTCTATTGAATTGTTTTTGCATCTTCATAGAAAAAAAAGCAATTGAGGATATTTGTGAGGGTCCATTTCTGGACACTCTATTTTGTCCAATTCATCAAAATGTCTCTCCACCAATATCCCATTACACTGTCTTGATTACTGTACTTATGTAGTAATCTATAATATTGCATAGAGTAATTCTTCCTATTTTATTATTTTTTTGTACAGAATTTGTAAGGTATTCTAGGTTCCATGCTATTTAATATAAATTTTAGCGTGTGTGTCTCTGTTTTCAAAAATGCAAATTCTTGCTAAGATTTTGATAGAAAATGCATACAATCTATGAATCAATTTGGAGGGAATTTACATTTTTACTATGTTGATTCTCCCAATTCATGAACATATATCTTTCCACTTATTTAGGCCTTTGATTTTTCATAAGCAATTGTTAATTCTCAACATAGAAATTCTGTAGATATGTTTTTATCAATGAATAACCTAAAAATGTATTTTCTGGCCTGGCACGGTGGCTCACGCCTGTAATCCCACCACTTTGGCAGGCAAACGACCTGCAGTCGGGAGTTTGAGACCGGCCTGACCAACATGGAGAAATCCCATCTCTACTAAAAATACAAAATTAGCTGGGCATGGTGGCATATGCCTGTAATCCAGCTACTCAGGAGGCTGAGGCAGGAGAATAGCTTGAACCAGGGAGGCAGAGATTGCTGTGAGCCAAGATCGCACCATTGCACTCTAGCCTGGACAACAAGAGTGAAATTCCATCTCAAAAAAAAAAAAAAAATGTATTTTCTTGGATAAATGAAAAGTTAAGTAGTATTGTGTTTTTAATTTTGGTTTCTTCATGTTTTTCATTGGTATATAGAAATGTAAATAACGTTTATTTTTTTATTTTTATTCTACATTTCTGAACTCATTTGTTAGTTCTAGAAGTACTTTTGCAGATTCCTTGGAATTTCTTAATTAGGCAATCATACCACCTGCAATAGGGGCCATTTTATTGCTTCCTTTCCAAAGTACCATTTAATTTTTTTTCTTTCCTATTTCAATGACTAGAACTTCCAGCACTATGTTAATTAAGAGTAGTGAGTGTACCTGTCCTTTACCTTGTTCCCTATATTAGGGGAAAAGTGTCCAATAACTCACTGTTAAGTATGGTGTTAGCTGTATGGTTTTTTGTAGATGCTCTTTATAAAAATTGAGGATGTTTCCCTCTGTTCTAAGTTTCCTAAGTGCTTTTATTATGCATGAGTGTCAAATATTGTCAAATGCTTTTCTTGCTTTTCTTTACATTACTATATATGATCATACAATTATTCTTTATTGATGTGATGAAATTACATTGATTGATTTTCTAATATTGCACTGGGCTTGTACAAATGGAATAATTCCAATTGATCCTGGTACATAATTATCTTTGTATGTTGTTGGGTTCTATTTACCAATATTTTGTTGAGGATTTTACCTCCTTTTTCACATGAGATATTGATCTATAGTTTTCTTATTTTGCGTTATCTTTGTTTTGGTATCAAGGTAATGAACTCTATTTTCTGAAGAGATAGTATAAAATTGGTGTTACATCTTTCTTGATGTTTGATAGACTTCTCCACTGAAACCAACTGGGGCTGAGTATTTCTATACAGGGAGTTTTTAATTTCTAAATTCAATTTCTTCCATGATTACAGGACACTTCAGATTGTTTATTTCATCTTCAGTGAGTTTTGGTAGTTTTAACTTCTCACAGAGTTGGTCTGTTCCTTATAATTTTTTGAATTCACAGTGCAAAGTTGTTAATAGTATTTATTTAATATTTTTAATAGCTATAGTATCTTAAGTGATATATCTTATTTCATTATTGATATTGGTGATTTGTATCTTCTTTTTGCTTATGTCAGTCTTGCTAGATTCTTATCAATTGCATTGATTTTTCTGAAGAATCATCTTTTTTCACTTGTATTTTCTCTTGCTGTTTTGAATCTCAAGGATTTTTGTATTATTATTTCTTTCTCTAGCTAGCTTTGGGTATTTTTTTCTCTCTTTTTTTTAGTTTCTTTAGGACAGATTTAGATTATTGATTTATGTTTTTTCAATCTTTTCTACTGTAAACATTTAGTGTTATAAATATACCCCCAGCACTGCTTTACCTTCATCTCATATATTTTGATATATAGCAACTGGCTTTTCTTGTAGTTCTACATATAGCTAATTTTCTTTTAAGACCCATCATTTATTTAGAACCATGTAGTTTAGTATCTTACATATTTAGGTTTTGTCTTATTTGATTTTTAATTTGATTCTACATTGCCAGAGAATACACTCTGTAAGTTTTCAAATTTTAAATGTATTAAAGTTTTATGGCTGAGGATATTGTCTCTCTTAGAGAATATTCCATGGGTGTGTCATAAGAATATGCATTTGGTTGTTATTATTTGGAATGTTCTATAAATGTCACACAGATTCTATTGGCTGATTCAGTTATTGTATATCTTTGCTGATTTTTTTGCCCAGTAGTTCTATCGGTTGCTGAAAAGAGGATGTTTAAGGTTTCCAGCTATCATGAGTGATTTGTTATCACTTATTTCAGTGATAACAATTTTGCTGCATACAATTTTAAGGCCCTAATATGTGAAGTGTACACGTTTAAGGTCATTACATCTTCCTGGTAGACTGATCTTTGATCTTTTAGTCATTATATAGTCTTTTTTTGTCTCACAATTTTCTTTGCTCTGAAGTCTACCTTATCAGATGTTAATAGAACTACTCCTACTTTTTTCATTAATGTTGAATAATATATTTTCCCATCCTTTTACTGTCAACCTAATTATCTTGTTAATTTTAAAGTGAAAATAGAGCTTCTTGTTAAAAGCTTGTGGTTGAATAGTTGGGGCATTAATTTTAAAAAAAATCTGCTTTGCCAGTCTCTTTAGATTCATGTATTTAAACCACTTAACATTTAAGAAGAGTATTGATATGTTACAACTTATTATACCATTTTATTATTTGTTTTCTGCTTATTTTCTCTGGTACTCATTTCTCTGTTTCTCTTTTTTTTATCTTCCTGTGGGTTACTTGAACATTTTTTAGAGTTTTACCTTATAGATAGTACTTTTAAGTGTATTATTTTGTATGTTTTTCACAGTGTTTGCTCTGGGATATAAGGATATATGTGTATAATCTTATGATACCCTCCAGATATCAACATTTTGCCTCTTTGAGTGCATTGTGGAAACAGTTCTATTAATATCCCCTTACCTTCCCTACTATTAATATTAAATATCATTGCCTTGATATCAAATGGCACACTAATTTGTGATTCAATTACCAAATATAATTTCTAAAACCCATGAGATGAATAATCAGTTGTATGAACCTGTATTTTCACTTTTCTTTCTTCTTTCTTATTTCCCAAATATTTTTTCTGCTATAGTTTTCTTTATGTCTGAAGAACTTCCTTTAGTAAATATTTAACGATTTGTTTGTGAGTGGCAAATTATTTTAGTTTTTCTTCATCTAAGAATATCTTTATTTCTCCTTCATTTCTGAAGGGAGAAATCATAGTTATTTATAATCACCAGAAACATAAATGATATTGTTCAATAGATAAACAAATGGGGTACATCCATCCAATGGAATACTTAACTTAGCAACAGAAAAGAATTAGCAATCACACCAAGCAAAGACATGAATGATTGATTAACATATATTACTAGGTGAAGGAAATTGCTCTGAGATGCCTACAATAGATGACCATTTATGTGATATTCTGGAAAAGGTAAAACTGCAAAAATGGAAAACAGACCACGACCTGTCAAAATTTGGGGGATGGGGATTGAATAGGTAAAGACCAGGATATTTTTATAGAAGGAAACCTACAAACTATGATTTTTTAATAAATGTATTATACCATATAAATATAAAGTTTTTAATAATCAGGGATACTGAGTGTAAAGTACATGGAAAATGTCTGTATTATCTTCAATTTTTTTTCTGCAAATTTAAAGCTTTTCTAAAACAAATTTATTATTTAAAATGGGAGACGTCAAGAAAACTAAAAATCTCACCTGCTAGAAACAAACTTCTCTGTTTAGTTAAGGCAAATCTGACTCTACTCTGCATTACCCAGACAATATGACTCCAGTCTTCTAGTAATAGCATTTAGAATCATAAGACAGTGTAAAATATAATACAATAAAGGTAGGCTCACATTTAGTCTAGTTAGCTTCTCTGCAAAACATGCAGATATGAAATGAAGACAAGAGGATTTAAACACATATAAAAGTTTCAACATAGTCTGCATGCTCAGGAAAGCCCTAGAATATCTGATATGTTGCTTAAACTGCTGTGATCCAACAAGTCTAAGTAATATATTACAGAATTCAATATCTGTTTTCCTTGCCAATGTCTTCCAAAGACATTGCTGCTTGGAAGAAAGCATGGATCATGAAAAATGTTGAGTAACTTAATAACCTGCTACTTTGATAGCTCTCTCTGTCTTACTCATCTAGAATTTTGGACCCATCCAGATAACAGAGTTGGCATGAGATTGACTGAAATGTTATGACAGAAGTTAAATGTGTTTTAAGGATTTTGACAGTTATTCCAAATTAAACTTAAAGTTTGTACCAAACTATACCCTCACTCATCTGGCATGAAATGCCCATTTCTGAATAGCTTTATCAATAAATGTTATCTGTTTTAAAATCTGTACTGACTTATTCAAGTTAAAATATTATGTGACATGTTTCACTTGCATATATTCAATTATTACTGAGATTGAATATTTTCCATATTTTATTTGTGTTACATATTTATTTTTTCATGAATTCCTATTCATGTCTTTTGGCATTTTTCTATATGTTTATTTTTTTCTTATTGATTTGTTAGAGTTCTTCATATATACAAAACCCTTATAACCCACTTGATTCGTATTTGTTCTTAATCTGTTTCAGACATTTTAATTCTGTTTTACCTATTTGGAATTTCTAGGCCAATAAGCATCTATCTTAATTCTTAAAATTGTATAGCATATTTCAACATTTGCATTGAAAGTATTTTGTTCAAAGTTGAAGCAAATGATAGCCAAAAGTCATTAACAAAATTATGCTACACTATTAAGAGCTTCTGAAGCCCAAACATCAGCAAATTAAAGCCTTCTTTTTTTATATGCTTCACTTAAGGCTAAATTTTTCCACCAAAGCCATCAGTTACATTTCAGCACAATGATTCCAAAAATAGTTCACTTGCATGTTGAATACATTATAGAGCTGTAAAATCCAATATCACAATCTTATAAATTTCAAACATAACATGGTATTACATAAAATTATTTTACCTCAGGTCAAGTATTATTTCTAGAGTCCATCTAGGCTCAAGAACACATTTATGTTGCATGTATAGACAGTATAAACAGAAGGTGGAACACTGAGAGAATTGTCTCAGTGGATTTCATCTGAGGCATATTAAACACTAAACAAAATGCATGCTGAATGATCATCTCATCATTTACTCTGAGATTTAGTTAGTCTTTGGCAGAAATTATAAAAGCTAAATAAAAGCAACTTATAGCTCAATACCTAACTGAAAATCCTGCGTCAAACATTATTCAGGTACGGATGGATGAAGCTGAGCTGTAACAATCAACTGTGAAGGTGTTTTTGGTTGACAACAGCAGGATGTTTATAAGCTTCATGATTAAAACATCTGATATTCTATTTCCTGAATATTCTTGAATTGCAAAGTAAAGAAAACAATTGGTTATTGTAACTGCTAAATGGGAATTATCATGTTTAGATGCACCACCAGAGAGGGTCAGAAATAAACTCCATAATTCTCCCACTTGCTTATTATAGTGTTTGTTTGTTCTTGTTGTTCAACAGATGTTAACCATGTTAGCAAAGGTTATTGTTTAATCTTAGTGTTTTTGACTCTTTCTGTTACTGTTCATGCAGTAAAAATCAATATGGAGTTCAAATTTCACTTTTGGCACTTGCTTTAGCAAGAGATTTATTTTCTCTGAGTCTCAAGTATAAGAAAAATACAAATATATATGGTTACTCTTAAGATTAAATGAAATAACGTATGGTAAGTGCTTAGAATACAGGTTGGTATATATATGCTGCGTGCTCCAAATGATGACATCTGGTTGAATTCTCATTTTGTGGATATTATTTTGTTTTTAGGTAAGAGAAAGCGAAATTTATTTATTTATTTTCAAAGCAAAACAGTATTGACCCATTCCAAACCCATTTTCTGCTGCCAAATAGAGCTCAGGTAACTCAGAATTTCTAAATAGGTCTCCATAACTCTTCAGTAGAAGGCTTTCTTTCTTTCTTTCTTTTTTTTTTTTTTTTACTTTTACTCTGCTGGCCTGAAATAATTTAAAGAAAACCAAAATGAGAAAAAATACTGTGACAAATATTCTTTATTAAGTTCAAATGATATTTTTAAAGGTCTGATTCATTATCAATTATCACTTCATTAAAAATAACAAAATCCATTATGATGGAGTAGAACCAGGACCAGTGTTTTCTGGAGAATAGGCATAGCCCCCAATTTCCAGTCTAATCTGTATTTTTTAAAAGTTATAACTTTAACGGAATCAAAGGATAGAATAAGGGGCAGAGATAAAAAATATTTGACCTATCTTGTTGACAACAAAAGACACATCATAAGGTTTGAGGGTCAGATGCCTTAGAAATTATCTGACACTAGAATGAACATGGACCCTCAACCTGCGAGGCAGTTTAGTCTTGCTACCTCCAGTTTTTTCCTATCAACTACTATTGGAAGCACTCAAGTATGGAGAAGGATTACTGGACTGTTGGTACAGCTCTGCTCTTTAATTAAGGTCTGGCTTCCATGTGCTTTTTTGAGAGCTGATGACTAGGCTAAGCAGTTGCTGTCCATGGTTCATTAGAGCTCGAAATGCTCTAATTATTGACTTAGCTCAGGCACAGACTACGAAAGGAAATATGTAGACTTGGGCTGATGACTTATTGATTGCTTTTAGGGAATTTAAATTTTTGTTTTCATTTAGACAATTAAATGAGCTCCAGAGGTTGAATCAAGAATATATAATTTTGAACCAAGACCAAATACCTGTCTAGTTGACAGAGATACAATTGAGTGTAAAAACAGGCATCGTCCCAACCTTGTGGAGCTTCCACTTCTGTTGTCAAGAAACATGAAAATAAAATAAGTGAAAAAGAAAACTAAAGCTCTGGTAAGCCCCTCAAAATAGCAGCATATCATATCATGAAACTTTGTAATGAAAGAGTTCCCTTGTCATGGAATACAGAGAAGATTTCCTTGAGGAGGGGATATTTGAGCTGGAATTTGAAGGATAAACACAAGTTTATTGGGTGAGGTGGAAAATATAGAGAAAGGTGTTACATGCAGAGAGGGAATATTGTGTAAAGGCCTTTGATACAGAAAGGAGCCTAACACTTTAAAATGTACTAAAAGGAATCCCACTGTGCTTGGAGTTGGGGTGGGTTATGAGAGTGGGTTATGGCTATGATGTGAAGAGAGAGGATTGGGGTCAAACTGTTGCTCATCAGTCATTCATCCATTTTCTCATTCATTCAATGAATATATATGTGCGTGTGTGTGTGTGTGTGTAAATTTATAAATTTTCCTTTTTTAAATGATTTTTTTAAATTGACAGATAAAGTTATATGCATTTGTTCTGTACAACATGATGCTTTGAAGTATATGCAAATTGTGGAATGGTTAAATCTAGCTAATTAACAACTGCATTACTAGACATAGCTATCATTTTTGTGGTAAGAATACTTAACATCCACTTTCTGCATTCTTCAAGATCAAGGAATATATATTGAGCACTAATTGGTGTTAGTTACTTTGGAATGTTGGGATTGGACCAGTGAATATAACTTAAGGGTTTTTTTTGAGCAAAGCAATGTCAGGTAGTGTTAAGTAGTATGCAGAGAGTTCAAATGGACTGAAATGTTGGATACAGCAGGTTTTCCAGCTGAAATTGACTTGTAAGGAAAAAAAGTTTTTCTGAAGTGATACGTAAATGGGGAAAAAAAAGAGCAAAGGGGGAAGAGCATTACATGTAGAGAAACAGCTTGTGCATAAACTTAGGAAAGTAACAAGCTTACATTGCAAAGAACAGAAAAAAAGGCCAGTGTGGCTGAATCTTAATGGGAAACAAAGTGTGCCTTTTATTTTTCATTCCAATTATTTGTTAACTGTTACAGCCTGTTTCAGGACCTTAAAGACTTCAATATCCTTAAGACTTGCAAATTTGCTTTACCACTACTACTACAACTGTTACTACTACTACTGCTACTACTAGTATTATAATTATTATCCTTGTTTTAAAACCCTGGGATATGGCTTTATTATAGCCAGCATTTTAAAAATAAAAGTTCATGTAGAAACAGATTTTCTTTTCTTTAAGTTTCAATTTTTTTTTTAATACTTAAATTCTGGGATACATGTGCAGAACGTGCAGGTTTGTTACAGAGGTATACACGCATCATGGTGGTTTGTTGCACTCATCAACCTGTCATCTATATTAGGCATTTTTCTTAATGATATCCCTCTCCTAGCCTCCCACCCCACAACAGGCCCTGGTGTGTGACGTTCCCCTCCCTGTGTCCATGTGTTCTCATTGTTCAACTCCCACTTATAAGTAAGAACATGTGGTGTTTGGTTTTCTGTTCCTGTGTTAGTTTGCTGAGAATGATGGTTTCCAGTTTCATCCATGTCCTTGCAAAGGACATGAATGCATCCTTTTTTATGGCTGCATAGTATTCCATGGTGTATATGTGCCACATTTTCTTTACCCAGTCTATCATTGATGGGCATTTGGGTTGGTTCTGCTTTGCTACTGTGAATAGTTCTGCAATAAACATACATGTGCATGTGTCTTTATAGTAGAACAATTTATAATCCTTTGGGTGTATACCCAGTAATGGGATTGCTGGACAAAATGGTATTTCAGGTTCTAGATCCCACACTGTCTTTGACAATGGTTGAACTAATTTACACTCCCACAAACAGTGAAAAAGCATTCCTATTTCTCCACATCCTCTCCAGCATCTTTTGTTTCCTGACTTTTAATGATTGCCATTCTAACTGGTGTGAGATGGTATCCCATTGTGGTTTTAATTTGCATTTCTCTAATGACCAGTGATGATGACCTTTTTTTCATATGTCTGTTTGATGCATAAATGTCTTCTTTTGAGAAGTGTCTGTTGATGTCCTTTGCCCACTTTTTGATGTTTTTTTTTTTCTTGTAAATTTGTTTAAGTTCCTTGTAGATTCTGGATATTAGCCCTTTGTCAGGTGGATAGATTGCAAACATTTTCCCCCATTCTGAGGTTGCCTGTTCACTCTGATGATAGGTTTTTGCTGTGCAGAAGCTCTTTAGTTTAATTAGATCCCATTTGTCTATTTTGGCTTTTGTTGCCGTTGCTTTTGGTGTTTTAGTCATGGAGTATTTGCCCATTCCTATGTCCCGAGTGGTATTGCCTAGGTTTTCTTCTAGTGTTTTTATGGTTTTACATCTTACATTTAAGTCTTTCATCCATCTTGAGTTACTTTTTGTATAAGGTGTAAGTCAGTGGTCCAGTTTCAGTTTCCTGCATATGGCTAGCCAGTTTTCCCAACACCATTTATTAATTAGGGAATCCTTTCCCCATTGCTTGTTTTTGTCAGGTTTGTCAAAGATCAGATGGTTGTAGATGTGTAGTGTTATTTCTGAGGCCTCTGTTCTGTGCCATTATTCTATATATCTGTTTTGGTACCAGTACCATGCTGTTTTGGTTACTGTAGCCTTGTAGTGTAGTTTGAAGTCAGGTACCATGATCCCTCTAGCTTTGTTCTTTTTGCTTAGGATTGTCTTGGCTATATGGGCTCTTTTTTGGTTCCATATGAAATTTAAAGTAGGTTTTTTCTAATTATGTGAAGAAAGTCAATGGTAGCTTGATGGGATAGCAATGAATCTATAAGTTACTTTGGGCATTATGACAATTTTCATGATATTGATTCTTCCTATTTATGGGCATGGAATGTTTTTCAATTTGTTTGTGTCCTCTCTTATTTCCTTGAGGAGTGGATTGTAGTTCTCCTTGAAGAGGTCCTTCACATCCCTTGTAAGTGTATTCCTAGGTATTTTATTCTCTTTGTAGCAATTGTGAATGGGAGTTCACTCATGATTTGGCTCTCTGTCTGTTATTGGTGTATAGGAATGCTTGTGTGTTTTACACATTGATTTTGTATCCTGAGACTTTGCTGAAGTTGCTTATCAGCTTAAGGAGATTTTGGGCTGAGATGATGGGGTTTTTTAAATATACAATCATGTAATCTTCAAACAGAGACAATTTGACTTCCTCTCTTCCTATTTGTATAGCTTTATTTCTTTCTCTTGCCTGATTGCCCTGGCCAGAACTTCCAACACTATGTTGAATAGGAGTGGTGAGAGAGGGCATCCTTGTCTTGTGCCAGTTTTCAAAGGGAATGCTTCCAGCTTCTGCCCATTCAGTATGATTTTGGCTGTGGGTTTATCATAAATAGCTCTTATTATTTTGAGATATGTTCCATCAATACCTAGTTTATTGAGAATTTTTAGCATGAATGTGGTGTTGAATTTTATCGAAGGCCTTTTCTGCATCTATTGAGATAATCATGTGGTTTTTGTCATTGGTTCTGTTTATGTGATGGATTCCGTTTATTGATTTGCATATATTGAACCAGGCTTGCATCCCGGCGGTGAAGCCGACTTGACTGTGGTGGATAAGCTTTTTGATCTGCTGCTGGATTCGGTTTGCCGGTATTTTATTGAAGATTTTCATCAGGGATGTCAACCTGAACTTTTTTGTGTGTGTCTCTGCCAAGTTTTGGTATCAGGATGATGCTGGCCTCATAAAATGAGTTAGGGAAGAGTGCTCCTTTTTTTCTATTGTTTGGCATTTCAAACTTTAATTGTCCAAAACAGAATTTTGATCATTAGTCTCTTCAAACGTTTATCTCCCATTGTTTGCACCTTAGTGAAGTGCACATGCCATAGTCAAAGACAAATATTTGGGATCATCCTTGGTTCCTCCTGATGTATTAGCATGGCTTGTTAAATATCAACTTGAGATCAGTTCTACTTGTGTTCATCTAAACTATAATCTAAATGCTCATCATTTTCTACCTGAACTGATTTAACATCCTTATAATTAATCTTTTTTGTGTGGGGAGGGGGACTGCCCTATAGGACTATTTTATGTCCAAAAGATAGTCTCATGTTTTTTAAAAGTAAAATTTGGTGATCTACTACTCTATTCTCTGTCCCACCTTTACTCCTAACATCGGCACACACTCTTCAGTGGCTTAACATTACTCTGAAAATATAACTAAGTTCCTGGCCCCACTCTATAAATCTCCCTGTGATCTAGCTCTTCCCTGCCTCTCCAGTCCTGAATCTACAAGGAAAAAAAATCTTAAAAATACTGTTATAGATTCACCCCTAGAAACACCAGACATTCAGATAACTCAATTCTTCCACATACCCACTAATCTAATCAAGCTCTGAATATATTCTAGTCTATATACTTCTCACACCTCTTCTCAATTCCAGAAAATCTTCTACAATGTCATGTGTAATTTAAAGACCATGAGCAGCAAAATATCCTATTTTTTTCAACCTCTTCTCTCAAAGCTTTCCTTAATTCATTGTACTATAAAATAAAACAAGCTAGCCAATGAATCTGCTTACCTAAACATGTTTCTGCAGAAATTTTTATTTTAAAAAGCTGGTAATAGTAAAGCCATTTATGAGCCTTAAGTATATTGAAGTTGTTAAGATCCCTGAAAATGGCTATAACAAATTAAAAACATAATTATAATAAAAATTAAAAGCCTGGCTTCTCCCTGAGGACAGTGTTTTCCCTGCTGCCCTCTAGGGTAGTATAAGGTATTGTGGTGATTGTTAGGCTGGGAGGTGTAGTAGAAATGCTTTTGTTCCTCTTTGCCATTTTTATAAAATTCTACAATTTGTCTCCTAAAGATATAGCTTTGAATCTCATTTCCATGGATTATATCACCTACTACTCTTCATTTGCTTTTGTCATCTTCAGATCCCAGGTATTCTATCGCATGTTTTCCAAGGCATCTGTTCCCAGCTCCATATCACTCTTTCCACACTACTTCAGTCTTAATTCTGGTGATTTCAGTATACGTGTACATAATCATACATAACTCTCAGGCCCTTCGTTTCCTTAATTTACCTTCCAATGATCTTCCCCTGCATTCTGCCTTACCTACACACTCACATGATATTGCCCCGGGACTTATTATTAACAATAAATGTGACCCTGAATGATTACATTGCCTGCATTTCACTTTTTGGTCATCATTACTGTCTATCCTTTCAACTCACTTTCTCTATTACTCCACTCCTCCAAACTAGGAATTCTACTAATTTTTTTCCTGTCACTGAGATATTTGATATCTTCCCCCTGCTCCTAAACAAGTCTAAATATTATGGTCAATTATTATAATCTTTTTTGAACACATATACTCTCTGGCTTGTCTCTAGCTTTGTTGTAGTCACCTAATAAAATCAAAACCTGTTTAATCCAACTTTATAACTACTCTGCACTTGAAACTTGTACAACATAAAATGAACGAAGAAAAATGCCCAACTAATTGATTACTTCATTATAAATTAATAATTATAGACCTAAATTGGGCCTTAGTGTTTCCTGCCAGTTGCGTCACAATTCCCTACATGCATTTACTTTTATGCCATTTAAGATGACAGTTTCACAGCTTCTTAGCTCTCCTCAAACCTTCAACATCACCCATTTCATTTTCATTCCCAGATAAATTCTACTTCATGAAAAATTATTAAAGTACAAGTATACCGCAGAGACATTGCAGGTTCAGTTCTAGGCCATATTCTAATAACGAAAATCACATGACATTTTTGGTTTCCCAGTGCATATAAAAGTTATGCTTACAGTATATTGCAGTCTATTAAGTATGTAAAGCATTATGTATTAAAATGATATATATATCTTAATGTATAATAATTTATAGCTAAAAATGTTAATGATCATCTGAACCTTGAGCAAGTTGTAAGGTTTTTGCTGGTGGAAGGTCTTGCCTGGATGTTGATAGCTCCTGACTGATCAACGTGGTGGTTGTTGAAGGTTGGTGTGGCTGGGAAAATTTCTTAAAATAAAACAACAGTGAGGTTTGCTGCATCTATTTATTGACTCTTCTTTTCACAAAATACTTTTCTGTAGTGTGTTATGTTATTTGACAGCATTTTACCCACAGTAGAACTTCTTTCAAAATTGGAGTCTAACCTCTCAACCCTGCCACTGCTTTATCAACTAAGATTATGTAATATTCTAAATCCTTTGTTGTTGTTTCAACAATGATCACACCATCTTCACCAGTGATAGATTCCATTTCAAGAAACTATTTTCTTTGTTCATCCATAAGAAACAATTTCTTACTCATTCAACTTTTATCATGAAGTTGCAGCAATTCAGTCCCAGGCTCCACTTCTACTTCTAGTTCTGTTGCTATTTCCAACATATCTACCATTACTTTATTTATTTTAATTGTTAGTTTTTATGGGTACATAGTAGGTGTACATGTTTACAGGATACATGAAATATTTTCATACCGGCATTCAATATGTAATAATCACATCAGGATAAATGAGGTATCCATCACTTCAAGCATATGTCCTTTCTTTCTGTTACAAACAATCCAATTATATCCTTTTAGTTATTTTAAAATATACAATACAATATTCTTGACTATAGTCACCCTATTATGCTATCAAATGCTAGATCTAATTCATTCTATCTAACTATATTTTTGTACCCATTAACCATCCCCACTTCCCACACCCAACTATCCTTCCCAGCCTCTGGTAACCTAATTCTAAATCCTTTGTTTTCATTTCAACAATGTTCATACCATCTTCACCAGGGGTAGGTTCCATCTCAGTAAACCATTTTCTTTGTTCCTCCATTAGAAACAATTGTGTAGATATACTACATTTTCTTTATACATTTATCTGCTGAAGACAACTTAGGTTGATTCCAAATCTTGGCTATTGTGAATAGTGTTCAAATAAACCTGGGAGTGCAGATGTATCTTCAATATACTGATTTCTTTTCTTTGGGTACATACCAAGCAGTGAAATTGCTAGATCATACGGTACTTTCATTTTTATAATTTTGAGAAACCTCCATATTGTTCTCCATGGTAGCTGTATTAATATACATTCCCACCAACAGTGTACAAGTGTTCCCTTTTCTCTACAACCTTGCAAGCATTTGTTATTATCTGTCTTTTGGATGAAAGCCATTTTAACTGGGGTGATATGATATTTCATTATAGCTTTGATTTGCATTTTCTGATAAACAATGGTGTTGAGCACTTTTTCATATACCTGGTTGCCATTTATATGTCTTCTTTTGAGAAATGTCTATTCAGACCTGTTGCCCATTTTTAAATCAGATTATTAGATTTTTTTCCAATAGAGTTGATTGGGGTTCTTATACATTCTGGTTATTAATCCTTTGTCAGATATATAGTTTGCAAATATTTTTGCCAAGTCTGTGTGTTGTCTCTTCACTTTGTTGGTTGTTTTCTTTCCTGTGCAGAAGCTTTTTAACTTGATATAATTCCATTTGTCCATGTGTTTGCTTTGGCTGCCTGTGCTTTTGGGGTATCACTCCAGAAATCTTTGCCCAGACCAATGTCCTGGAATTTTTTCCTAATGTTTTCTCTTAGCAGTTTCGTAGTTTGAGGTCTTAGACTTAAGTCTTTAATCTGCTCTGATTTTATTTTTGTGTATGGTTAGAGATAAGGGTCTAGTTTTATTCTTCTGCATACAGACATCCAGTTTTCCCAGCACCATTTATTGAAGAGACTGTTCTTGCCCCAATGTATGCTCTTGGCACCCTTATATAAAATGAGTTCACTGTCAATTTGTAGACTGATTTCTGGGTTCTCTTTTCTGTTCCATTGGTTTATGCATTTATTTCTATGACAGTACCATGCTGTTTTGGTTACTATATAGGTATAGCTCTGTAGTATGATTTGAAGTCAGGTAATGCGATTCCTTCCCATTTGTTGTTGTTCTTGTTTTTCTCAGGATGGCTTTGGCTATTTTGGGTGTTTTGTGTGTCCATATAAGTTTTAGGATTATTTTCTATCTTTCCATAAAGAATGTCCATGGTAGTTTTATACAGATTGCATTGAATCTGTAGGCTGCTTTGGGTAGTATGGGCATTTTAATAATATTGGTTCTTCCAATCCACAAACATGGAATATATTTCCATTTTTGTGTGTGTCCTCTTTAATTACTTTTATCAATGTTTTATAGCTTTCATTATAGAGATCTTTTACTTCTTTGGTTAAGTTTATTCATATATATTTTATTTTATTTATAGCTATTATAAATGGGGTTACATTCATAATTTATTTTTCAGATTGTTCACTGTTAGCTTACAGAAATGCTGCTAATTTTTGTATGTTGATTTTCTATCCTACAACTTTACTGAATTTGTTTATCAGATCTAACAGATGTTTTTGGATGCAGTCTTCAGGTTTTTTTCAAATAAAATATTATATCATCTGAAAAGAAGGATACTTTGTTTTCTTTCTTTCCAGTTGGGATGCCCTTTATATGTTTATCTTGTTGCTCTAGCTAGGACTTCCAGTACTATGTTGTTGTGGTGAAAGTGGGCATCCTTGTCTTGTTGCGGATCTTAGAAGAAAGGCTTGTGGTTTTTCCTCATTCAGTATAATAATAGTCATGTATCTAACATATATGGTTTTTCTTGTGTTGAGGTGTATTCATTCTAGACCTGGTAACTTGATGGTTTTTATCATGAAGGGATGTTGAATTTTATTAAATGATTTCTCAGCATCAATTGAAATAATCATATGATTTTTGTCCATTCTGTTGATATGATGTGTCACATTGATTTTCATACGTTTAATCTTCCTTTCATCCTTTGGATAACTCCCACTTGGTTAAGAAGAATGATCTTTTTAATGTGTTGTTGAATGCCGTTTGCTGGTATTTTGTTAAGGATTTTTGCATCAATGTTCATCAGGGATATTGGCCTGTAGTTTCCTTTTTTCATGTGTCCTTGTCTGATTCTGGTATCAGGGTAACACTGACCTCATAGAATGAGTTTGAGAGTATTCTCTCCTCCTCTATTTTTCAGAATAATTTTAGTAGAATTGGTATTAGCTGTTCTTTAAATGTTGGTAAAATTCAGCAGTGAAGCCATTGGGTCCCAGGCTTTTATTTGCTGGGGGACTTTTTACCACAGCTTCGACCTTGTTAAATACTTATTATTGGACTGTTCAGGTTTTGGATTTCTTCTTGGTAAGTTGTATGTTTCTAGGAATTTAACCATTTCTTCTAGATTTTCCAATGTTTTGGCGTATTGTTGCGAATAGTAAACTCTAATAATCCTTTGAATTTTTGCAGCATCAGCATCTTCCTTTTTCATCTGTTTTATTTTTTTATTTGGGTCTTCTCTCTTTTTGTCTTAGTCTGGCCAAAAGTTTGTCAATTTTGTTTATCTTTTAGAAAGTCAACTTTTCATTTTGTTGATTTTTATATTTTCTTTGTTTCAGTTACATTTATTTTTTCTAAGATCTTTATTATTTCTTTTCTCATACTAATTTTCTTCTACTAATTGCTAGGTTATTTAAAGTTTTTCTACTTTTTGATATAGGCACTTATATCTATAAACTTTCCTCTCATTGCTGCTTTTGCTGTATCCCATAGGTTTTGATATGCTGTGTTTTTATTATCAATAAATTCTTCTATTTCCTTTTCAATTTCTTCATTGAGACAGTGGTCATTAAGGAGCATATTGTTTAATTTCTATGTGTTTGTATAGTTGCCAAAATTCTGCTTGTTATTGATTTGTAATTTTATTCCATTGTGGTCAGAGAATATACTTAATAAGATTTCAAATTTTTGAATTTTTAATACTCATTTTACTGCCTAACATATGGTCTATCCTTGAGAATGATCCATGTGCTGAGGACAAAAATGTTTATTTTGCAACCATTGGATGACATGTTCTGTAAATATCACTTTAGATACATTTGGTCAATAGTACAGATTAAATTTGATGTTTCTTTGTTAATTTTCTGCAGAGAAGATTTGCCCAATGCCGAAAGTGGGGTGCTGAAGTCCTCGAGCTATTATTGCATTAGAGTCTATCCCTCTTTAGCTCTAACAATATTTGCTTTATATATCTGCATACTCCAGTGTTGGGTGCATATATATTTGTAATTGCTATATCACCTTGCTGAATTGACCCCTTTATCATTATATAGTGACTTTCTTTGTCTCTTCTTATAGCTTTTGTCTTGAAATCTATTTTGTCTGATATAATTAGTCTTGTTTTTTATGTTGTTGTTGTTTCCACTTGCCTGAAATATCTTTTTCTATTCCTTTATTTTCAGTTTATGTATGTCTTTGTAGGTAAAGTGTATTTCCTGTAGGCAATTACTCTCTGACTAGGGCTTATCTAAATCTTCCCTCTCTGGGTGCCAGCTGAGCTCTGCCCAGTGTTACTTTCTGCTGTGACAGGGCAGCATCGACTTCCAATGCAAGGTCCCACTATTGCTGCGCTTTCCCTCCCCCAAGAACACAGATTTTGTGGGCTATGCAACTGCTGCTAGAGATTGGGGAAGGGGTGGTATCTTCAATTCAAGACATTCCTACCTCTTTCAGTTAAAACTAGGTGTTGTGATCATGCACCTAATTTTTGGTTCTTATAAAGGTGGCTTTTTGTGAGGATAGTTGTAAAAATTGGTGTTCTTCCTGGAAGGACAATCAGTGGAGGCTTCTATTCAGCCAGCTTTCTATTTTTTGCAGTTTCTTTCTCTACTGGTGCTTTAAACCCCTTAAAATTATCCAAGAGGGTTGGAATCAACTTCTTTTTATTTATTTATTAATTATACTTTAAGTGTTAGGGTACATGTGCACATTGTGCAGGTTAGTTACATATGTATACATGTGCCATGCTGGTGCGCTGCACCCACTAACTCGTCATCTAGCATTAGGTATATCTCCCAATGCTATCCCTCCCCCCTCCCCCCACCCCACCACAGTCCCCAGAGTGTGATATTCCCCTTCCTGTGTCCATGTGATCTCATTGTTCAATTCCCACCTATGAGTGAGAATATGCGGTGTTTGGTTTTTTGTTCTTGCGATAGTTTACTGAGAATGATGATTTCCAATTTCATCCATGTCCCTACAAAGGACACAAACTCATCATTTTTTATGGCTGCATAGTATTCCATGGTGTATATGTGCCACATTTTCTTAATCCAGTCTATCATTGTTGGACATTTGGGTTGGTTCCAAGTCTTTGCTATTGTGAATAATGCCACAATAAACATACGTGTGCATGTGTCTTTATAGCAGCATGATTCATAGTCATTTGGGTATATACCCAGTAATGGGATGGCTGGGTCAAATGGTATTTCTAGTTCTAGATCCCTGAGGAATCGCCACACTGACTTCCACAATGGTTGAACTAGTTTACAGTCCCAGCAAGTGTAAAAGTGTTCCTATTTCTCCACATCCTCTCCAGCACCTGTTGTTTCCTGACTTTTTAATGATTGCCATTCTAACTGGTGTGAGATGGTATCTCATTGTGGTTTTGATTTGCATTTCTCTGATGGCCAGTGATGATGAGCATTTTTTCATGTGTTTTTTGGCTGCATAAATGTCTTCTTTTGAGAAGTGTCTGTTCATGTCCTTTGCCCACTTTTTGATGGGGTTGTTTGTTTTTTTCTTGTAAATTTGTTTGAGTTCATTGTAGATTCTGGATATTAGCCCTTTGTCAGATGAGTAGGATGCAAAAATTTTCTCCCATTGGTTGCCTGTTCACTCTGATGGTAGTTTCTTTTGCTGTGCAGAAGCTCTTTAGTTTAATTAGATCCCATTTGTCAATTTTGGCTTCTGTTGCCATTGCTTTTGGTGTTTTAGACATGAAGCCCTTGCCCATGCCTATGTCCTGAATGGTATTGACTAGGTTTTCTTCTAGGGTTTTTATGGTTTAAGGTCTAACACATAAGTCTTTAGTCCATCTTGAATTAATTTTTATATAAGGTATAAGGAAGGGTTCCAGTTTCAGCTTTCTACATATGGCTAGCCAGTTTTCCCAGCACCATTTATTAAATAGGGAATCCTTTCCCCATTGCTTGTTTTTGTCAGGTTTGTCAAAGATCAGATGGTTGTAGATATGTGGCATTATTTCTGAGGGCTCTGTTCTGTTCCCTTGGTCTATTTCTCTGTTTTGGTACCAGTACCATGCTGTTTTGGTTACTGTAGCCTTGTAGTATAGTTTGAAGTCAGGTAGCGTGATGCCTCCAGCTTTGTTCCTTTGGCTTAGGATTGACTTGGCAATGCGGGCTCTTTTTTGGTTCCATATGAACTTTAAAGTAGTTTTTTCCAATTCTGTGAAGAAAGTCATTGGTAGCTTGATGGGGATGGCATTGAATCTGTAAATTACCTTGGGCAGTATGGCCATTTTCACGATATTGATTCTTCCTACCATGAGCATGGAATGTTCTTCCATTGTTTGTATCCTCTTTTATTTCCTTGAGCAGTGGTTTGTAGTTCTCCCTGAAGAGGTCCTTCACATCCCTTGTAAGTTGGATTCCCAGGTATTTTACTCTCTTTGAAGCAATTGTGAATGGGAGTTCACTCATGATTTGGCTCTCTGTCTGTTATTGGTGTATAAGAATGCTTGTGATTTTTGTACATTGATTTTGTATCCTGAGACTTTGCTGAAGTTGCTTATCAGCTTAAGGAGATTTTGGGCTGAGACGATGGGGTTTCCTAGATATACAATCATGTCATCTGCAAACAGGGACAATTTGACCTCCTCTTTTCCTAATTGAATAGCCTTTATTTCGTTCTCCTGCCTGATTTCCCTGGCCAGAACTTCCAACACTATGTTGAATAGGAGTGGTGAGAGAGGGCATCCCTGTCCTGTGCCAGTTTTCAAAGGGAATGCTTCCAGTTTTTGCCCATTCAGTATGATATTGGCTGTGGGTTTGTCATCGATAGCTCTTATTATTTTGAGATACGTCCCATCAATACCTAATTTATTGAGAGTTTTTAGCATGAAGGGTTGTTGAATTTTGTCAAAGGCCTTTTCTGCATCTATTGAGATAATCATGCGGTTTTTGTATTTGGTCTGTTTATATGCTGGATTACATTTATTGATTTGCATATGTTGCATCAGCCTTGCATCCCAGGGATGAATCCCACTTGATCATGGTGGATAAGTTTTTTGATTTGCTGCTGGATTCGGTTTCCCAGTATTTTATTGAGGATTTTTGCACTGATGTTCATCAGGGATATTGGTCTAAAAGTCTCTTTTTTTGTTGTGTCTCTGCAAGACTTTGGTATGAGCATGATGCTGGCCTCATAAAATGAGTTAGGGAGGATTCCCTCTTTTCCTGTTGATTGGAATAGTTTCCGAAGGAATGGTACCAGCTCCTCCTTGTACCTCTTGTAGAATTCAGCAGTGAATCCATCTGGTCCTGGACTTTTTTTGGTTGGTAAGCTATTGATTATTGCCTCAGTTTCTATGCACACATTCTTGTCCCCAACACTCCACCTAAACCTTGCAAACACATACACTCTAATTTCAACAAAACAGAAAAAGAGGTACTTTATACCAGTCAGTTCATGTCAGTCCTCTGTTCAAATTCCTCTAATGACATCTAATTTCAATTCTTGTAAAAGACAATACCTTTACAATGGCCTACAAGGCCATACATGATCTGTATTTTTATAAAAATCCAAATAATCTGGCCATGAAGTCTTTGTACTATTTTTTCCTTACTAACTTCACACCAGCTACGTGAGTTTCTCTAACACACATGCTTCTTCATCCTAAGTGCCATTCTCCTGACTGATCCCTTTGCCTAGAATTCTCCTCTTTCCAGTTTACATTTGGATAACTCCCCTATCTTCCCCAAGTGCTCTAATGTCACCTTACCAATTAACCCTACCATGACCATCCTATGTAAAATCGCAAACTCTTCACACATACCTACCCCTTACTGTCTTCTTGCTTTTTTCCTAAATAAACATTTTAATTTAGAATAGTTATTGATTTTCAGAAAAATTGGGAGTATAGTACAGAGATTTCCTGGACTCTGCATACCGACTTTCCCCTATTATTAACATGTTACATTAGTATGGTACGTTTGGTAAAATTAATGAAAAAATATTCATACATTATTGTGAAGGAAGTCTAAAGTCTATAGCTCAGATTTCCTTAGTTTTAACTAATGTCTTTTTTTCTGTTCAGGACCAATTCTTTATTCCACATTACATTGATTTGTCATGTCCCTTTAAGTTCCTCTAGGCTGTGACAGTTGCTCAGACTTTGTTTTTGATGACTTTGACAGCTTTACATGACCAGAATAAATGTGGCCATATATTTGGTATAATGTCTCTCAGTTGGGATATGTCTGATTTTTATTCATGATTAGGCTAGGCTTATGTGTTTTTAGGGAAAGACCACAGAAGTAAAGTGCCATTGTAATTACATCATGTCAAAGGTACATATTATCAACATGACATTGCTGTTGATGTTAACCTTGTTGACCTGGCTGAGGCAATGTTTGTCAGATTTCCCTACTTCAAAATTTCCTCCTTTTCACTTTGTACTCTTCCAGAGGAAATCACTGTCTGCAACGCACAGTTAAGGTGTGAGGATTTATGTTCTACCTTCTTTACTGTGGAGTATCTACATAAAACATTTGGAATTCTTCTCCACAGGAGATCTATTCTCCCTCCTCAATTTATATCTTTATATATGAAATGTTTTCATCAGTATATAGTGTGGTGTATGAACACTTATGTTATGCTTTGGTTTATATTCCAATTCTACTGAATTTATTTTGTTGTCAAGTTGATACAACTTTGGGCATTGGGAACTCTCAGTTGGCTTTCATGTCCCTTTGATATATCTTCATAACAGTGTGTGTGTGTGTCTGTGTAGTTGTTTGTGAGTTTTTTTTTTATTGTTTTCTTACTTTTTAGCACTAAAACTACACATGGCTCATCTTGTGTATTTTCCAGCCTACTCTTAGAATCATTCATCTCTCCAAGGAGCCCTGGTTTCTATTAATGCATAATGGTTTTAGAAACCAAGATCTAGGTGATAGATGCACTCATTGTTACTGGGATATTGCTGTTTCTAAGCTCTCTCAGCTTACAAAATGAGAAAATATATTTATGTATGCTAACCCATGTATCTACATGTAACTATATATATTTCTATATGTAGCCATATGTATTTATACTAAGCTAATCCTGAGTTCATACTGATGTCTCCAATTCTAATCCATGACCATAAACCCAGATAATTCTGGGTTTCTTCTCTTGCTTGTTTGTAAACTCCTGCTCCAACAGTGAGAAACATAGTTTGCACCATTTGCCAAACTTTTACTTAATTTTTCAATTTCAGTACACATTCACAGCAGCATTACAGATATTAACCCATACACCCAAGGGAAACAACTTTATCAGTTGGAATACAGTACTGGGTTCAGTTTCTTTTGCAAATATTCTTACATATGCCACTCATTTCCAGTTACTTGGGACAGTACCATTTTCCCTATCCACTCAGTGATATGGTTTTATATGATTGTGATACAGTTAGATTACTTTTTATCACATTTTGCATTCTATCCTGAGATCCCTTGATCTCCTAATGGATTTGTTGAATTTGTATACATCATAGTTCAGTCTTACTTCTGTGAAGTTGTATAGATTTTCATAAGTGAATAGGGGCATTTATCCACAATTACAGCATCATACAGCACCATCATAGAATATTCTTGTGTTTCATCTGTTTAATGGTCCCTTTCATCCAAAGACTTTGAAAAACACTGATCTTTTTACTATCTCTATAATTTCGCCTTCCCTAGATTTCACATAATTAGGATTATATAATTTGCAGTCTTTTCAGACTGGCTGCTTCTACTTAGCAACATGCACTTAAGATTCATTTATGTCTTTGTGGGCTTGATAGTCATGTTTTTCTATAACTGGATAATATTCCATTGTGTGACTATACCAGAATTTGTTTATTCATTCACCTTGCTTGCTTTCAGTTTTTGGCAATAATAAATAACAGTGTTATAAATATTTGGGTACATGTGTTCGTATGGACACAAGTTTTCAAGTCAATTCGTTCAATATCTAGAAGCATGTTTGCTGCATCATGTGGTTAGATTACATTTAGCTTTGTAAAAAGCTGTTAAACTGTCTTTCAAAGTGATCATACCATTTTTAATTACTAGTATCAATGAATGGTTTTCCTTTTGTTACATAACCTCACAAGTAATTGGTATTATTAGATTTTCTTATTTTATTTTATCCATCCTAAGTGTTGTATAGTGATCCCTTATTTTAATTTGCAATTCCCTAATGACAAATGATATTTTATAGCTTTTCATATGCTTCTTTATCATTAGTTTTATTTTCATATAACATTTATGACTTTTAATGTACCACCAAATATATACATTTATTTTTCTCTCATCTGTCTTATGTAGTATAATGGAAATCCCAGGATAATCTTGACTCCTTTTTTTCACTGAAATATCTTAAGTACCTAATTTCCCATAAGTTTCCAATAAATACTTAGCAAACGAATAAATTGAAATTCGATCTAAGAAAGAGAGGGATAAATAAAGTATACTAATGGAGAACAGCAGCCAATGACATAGAAGAAAAACAAGAAACATCTGTGGTAATGTGGATGAGGACAGAAAAAAATCAACAATTGCTTTACTCTTAGGCAAGGTTAATAACACAAAACCAAAGATGTGTCCATTTGATTTTAAAGCACGTATGTCATCAGTGATAATAACATAAAGTTTCTCAGTAGAGAATTAGGGTTAAAAGTCTTGTTTATGGAAAAAAAAAAAGCAGAAAGTGAAGAGTCTAAGCCACAACTAAAACAATTCATTCAAAAAATTTGTTTCTAGGGGAAACTGCAGTAATTGGGAATCACAATGGCTCAAGGTAGGATATTGATTAAACATAGCATATACTATGCATGCTTCTAAGCTGATAGGAATATCTAGTGGAATAGAAATTGGTTATGTAGGAACTGAATACGTTAGAGGAGCACATATGTAAGAAGGTAAAAATACAAAGCAAAAATGAAAAAGTTTTGCTTTAAGTGTAAGAACACTTCATCTAGTATAAGAGGAGAAAAGAGAAACTAAAAGATTGGGTATAGACAGATATAGGTAGGGTGAAAGACTTGTTGCTGGGATATTGGTAGATTTCTTGTCAATATTTACCAATTACTTTATGGAAATGATACCAATTTATAGCGATAATGAAGACAATAGTGGTACAGAGGTATATAGGAGACTAAGGAGAGAGGAAATTAACAATGATAACTACTTGTTTTGAAGAATGAGGAAGTGTTAACATATGGGAGAAGCGCAGTAATATTACCCAGTAGGAAGGGGCAGCAGATGAGTCTGGTAACAAAAGTGGCAAGAAGAAGCCCATACGACAGCATAAGAAGCTGGCCAGGGACATGGACAGAAACAAAAAGAGGAGCAGAATAAACTCAAAAAACTAAAATCAAAGGCTGCAGGAAAGATTCACCTGGCCACAGTTGGGATTAAGAAATGTGGCAAAAAGCAATCTGTTCCTTGTACCTGAGGCAAAGGCACCTTTTGATTTCATTCCTGTTTAAACATCTGAATTCTCTGCCATAACATCTATTGCCACCTATAGCTAGAATTAAATGTTGTCTTGGAGCCTGTGGTATATTTAAGAATAAACTTTTGTTTTTAAAAAATCATACAGTGTCTCACTGTCTCTTCATTTCATCTCACTCAGCCATTCCTACCATACTGTGAAGTCAAAGTCAACCCAGCCCAGAGTGCTACCAGAATGTACTTTTGTCTTTGTTCTACCCCCAAATTCTGTATCAACTGGAATTACAACTTATTTGAAAAAAAAATGCCTAGTAATATTGAATTTCCATCTGGAATTTATGCTTATAGATTTCAAGTAATAAATTCAGCATGTAGGTTTCTCTCCACAATTGCACAGAGATGTAGCCATGGTTTTGTCACAAAATGTGATTTAACCATGTAAGGATATGGTTAAACTATTGGAATCAAAGCAGAGGGGAATACGTAAATCAAGGTTACATTTTTAAGAAATTGGTATGATGACATAACAATATGTCTAATCTGTATAAAAATAATAATATGAGATGCACGATGATTAGTAAAATATAGAAAAATAAATCAATTTGATGTCTTCATAGGGTGGTATAACTTGCAGACTGGAATTTACTAGAGAAAATCAAGTACTAGAACAAGAAATTATTATCTTTGAGACTTCAGAATGGGAGAAGTTATTAATGTTTCAACCATAGTCATAGACAGTTGATAAGTGATGGAAGAAAATATCATTGCAGTTTAGATAGAGTAACTAAGAGAGAAAGTGTTGATTTTAAAATTGTCAATAATGGTGATAGGATTCAAAGACAGATTAAGAGAGTAAGTCAAGTCCTAAAATGACTTACTAATAATTGAGTGGTCCATGAACAGAGTTTGGTAGTTGTTAGCAGCAGAGAAAATAAAGTCTAATCACATGAACTTCGAAGGAGACTGAACATTTAAAGGAGGAGGAAGGAGAGAAGCTTTGAAATAATACTAGAAAACGGGGAATATATGAAAGAAATAACAGGTTCAATTATAGCTGGCTGAACTGTCCAGGACACTAGTCTCTTAGGTATTCAGGAGGACCAGGATCTTGAGGGCCTTGTCTCTTTGTGGCATGGTAAGGTGTCAGTCTGTTGACAAGATGTTGTGTCACTTGGAGCAGCAGGCCTGGCACTGACCCTTCTGTCTGACAGGTTGGTGATTGCAGGAGTTGGATCAGAAGAAAGGTATTAAAAAGATCTCTTATCTTCTCTAGCAAAGTGATGTGAAATTGTAGGTCCATTTGGGGAGTTTCTCTTCATCAAAGAGTATTAGAAAGCAATTGAATAGTTTCAGATGGAACGGGAAACATGAAAATATTTAATCTGAAGTAAAATGTAAACCACAGTAGCTGATGTGTGGGTGATGTCTAGGGAGGGGAGGTAGAGTAATTGCAAGAAAAAATGAGGAGGCTCCTGATGAACTCTAAGGAGAAACTATAGTTATTTCAATCAGTGTGGTGCTTCTGGAAAAAAAGTGGACAAAGATGGCACATGTATCTGCATGTATATATGCATAAATGGATATCTGATTTAATACTGCACACACAGAAAATCGTCCATCTGAGTGGAGGTGTCAGGAGACAATGTAAGTGGAAAGAATGTTATGCCCTGTAAACTGACAGCAGTTGGGAGAAGAAAATCTGTGGACTTTCAGTCAACCATTGATTTCGAGGAATTGAGTAAATTTGTCTTAAATCTTAAAAATTTAGGTCCCTCCTAGAGTAAGGAATACAAATCTAGAGAATATTATATGTCTTTATGTCTATCTGTCTAAGCACACAAACACAACATACATACTAAATAATGGCTAATATATCAAAAATATTATTGTTTAAGAATAGATTTTATTTTTATAAGATCCCCAATGGATTTGGCTTTCATGTTTGAGTGGCAATCATTGTAATAGGCCACATCTTTCCTCTTTTACTCATACTCTTTATGAATTACTCTATAGTATTGAATTTTTTTTTATTTTATCATAACATAGATTATAAACTGAGATATATAAATGTGTTTTATATGTAAATGTGATTTTTATATTAATTCATCTTATTTCACAATATTAGATATAATAACCATGCAAACTGCTAATTAAACCAGATTTGTTTGTAATTCCTTTTAAATTGACATATATATATCACTGTCATTGAAATAAAAAAAATAGCATGGCTACTGTTCAACCCCTTTCACAATGCTTAAATTGATTAAGTATAAATTCTGCTTTGCACATCATGTAAAGGAAATACACATTTAATTTGTTGATATCTTGGAGATATATATCATGTATTATTACTACATTTTTAAAAGGCAACAAAACCCATTCAGTACGTTGATTTCTTTTTTGAGATGTATGTATGAGGACTGTTTTCTTCATTTCGATAATAAATTAAATAACCAAAGGCCTCAAGAGAAAGAATAATTTTGAAATTAATAAAGGTAGTTCAATGTAAAAAGAGAAAATATTAGTACTATTTCCAACCCAAGTATTCCACGGCTCCCATCTGGAAATATGTGCATGGCATAGAAGCCTATTATCATTTGAAGGTTTATAATTACTGTTAAATATATACATAGAATGCTATCATGATGGCTGTGGCTTTGTGATCTAACATACCCCAAAGAGGCAGCATTAAGATTTACTTTCTCCGAATAAAAACTTTTAAGAGAATGGACTTCTTTCCTAGAAATGCAAAGGCAAATATGAGGACAATCTTGATTAACAATGGCAGAAAGCCCATCAGATGAAAGGACTAACTGAAATTGCCAAAGCAACAAAGAAAAAGGGAACCAGTCAGTGTTTTCTCGCAGAGATCATTTAACTGGACTATTAAGGTATGTCCTGTATGGACTACACAGATAGAGCATGCACAAAATTTCCATGGAATATGCTTGTAATGAAATACTATGTAGAGGTTAAAATTATATTGTAACATAAAGACAAAATATTTTAATATAAATCAGTAAGTGAGAAAAATCACATTTCAGGAAAGAATATGCAGTACAATATTTTTTTAAAGAGAAGGGGATATGCTGTTCCAGTTATCACAATTTATTGCCTCTCAGCTTTCCAGCCAATGTATCATTTCCTTGCTTGCCACAATGGAGCTGGGTGTTGTAAACATCACTTTATTGCCAGTTGAGGTGCTGGAGGGATGCTAAGGAAGGAAGATGTTTCTTTTGCTGATTCTAGTGCACTTTACTCAGTTTGCCTCTGAGGGACTAACTATGCAGTTGTCCACACACACAAAATGGTGCTCACCTTCCTGTAGTTGCAGCCTGGGGTATTTGCACAGTAGTCTTGGTCCACCAGCTGTGGACCAGCCCTGTTTCAGAGTAACACAATAAACTTTATTGCCATCTCTTATGCTGGAGCTGTGCCTCCTCCATTGGCATCTAGATCCCATCCTTGGCGGGTGGGGGGATACTGTCAAGTTGGTTCCTTTTTCATTCACTTTCCCTTTTTTCACAGTTGTCTTTTATTCCCTCTTAGTAGCTAATTGCCTGTAAATAATTAATCCTCATACTGTGTCTTTCCTGTTAAGATTACTGTGTGATCTCTCTTTCCTGACTGGACCATGACTGATATACACTTTAGCACACACATACGAACACACACATAGATAATTGGAAAGTGATGTTTGGAACAATTAATAGTGATTATCATTTCTGGATGCTTATCTTTGAAGTACTCTTTATTTTCTTCTGTATATTTTTTGTATTGCCTAAATTCTCTACAATCATGCATTACCTTTTTTTTTTTTTTTTTTTTTTTTTTTTTTTTTGAGACGGAGTCTCGCTCTGTCGCCCAGGCTGGACTGTGGACTGCAGTGGTGCAATCTCGGCTCACTGCAAGCTCCGCTTCCTGGGTTCACGCCATTCTCCTGCCTCAGCCTCCCGAGTAGCTGGGACTACAGGCGCCCGCCACCGCGCCCGGCTAATTTTTTGTATTTTTAGTAGAGACGGGGTTTCACCTTGTTAGCCAGGATGGTCTCGATCTCCTGACCTCATGATCCACCCGCCTCGGCCTCCCAAAGTGCTGGGATTACATGCATTACCTTTGAAATCCAAAAATTTTAAACTAAATTTCAGAAAGCATTAATAAACTCTCCTAAGTTTAGAAAATAAACAGCCCCAGTATATTTAAAATAAAATAGGATCTAAATTTGAGAAGGCTTAGCTTGGGAGATTTTTTAATCATTCTTATTTTTATCTTGTATGTTTTAAAACGTTCAAAATGAAATTAGAAAGGAGCAAACACAATGAAATGCATTCAACAAAAAATGTCAGACACTTATGATATTGCATTTGTTATTATAAACTAATTGCTGTTGCAGACAAGAAAACAAAAAGTGGAATTACTTTTACAAACTTGTTCTAGATCAAAATTGCTCTATTTAGTGCCCTTTAAATGCAAAGTGACAGAGTATAAACCGATCCCACAGTATAGTAGATGCATTATCAGCATGCTGACATGGCCTCCTTTGCCTGTTCTCTCTGATTTAATGTCATCAGACACAAGGGATTTACAACATTCTCGGTAATAATGGAGAGGCTGAAAGCAGATGTGTGGATATTTTTAATGTTTTTTTTTTCCTTCCCCAAGTTTTGTTATTTAGTTAAGGCAATACTGTGGAGACAATCAGTATGTTGCAGAATGTAATAAAAATGAATATCAAGAGCAGATTACATTGATGGGAGAAAACTTCCTCATTTAAAAAAAAAAAAACAAGAAACAAAAACTTTTTCTCTATCAGAGTTTCAACAACTTGGAAACTTTTTTATTTTATTTTAAGTTCCAGGATACATATGTGGGATATGCAGGTTTGTTACATACATAAACGTGTGCCATGGTGATTCACTGCACCTATCAACCCATCATTTAGGTATTAAGCCCAGCATGCATTAGCTATTTATCCTGTTGCATTCCATCTCCCTGTCCTCACAACAGGCCGTAATGTGTGTTGTTCCTCTCCTTGCGCCCACGTATTCTCATTGAACAGCTCCCACTTACCAGTGAAGATGCATGGTGTTTGGTTTTCTGCTCCTGTGTTAGTTTGCAGGGAATAATGGCCTCCAGCTCCATCCATGTCCCTGCAAAGACATGATCTTGTCCCTTCACGTGGCTGCATAGTATTCCATGATGTATGTGTACCACATTTTCTTTATCCAGTCTATCATTGACGGGCATTTGGGTTGATTCCATGTCTTTACTATTATGAATAGTGCTGCAGTGAACATACACACGCATGTATCTTTATAATAGAATAATTTATATTCCTCTGGGCATATATCCAGTAATGGGATTGCTGGGTCAAATGGTATTTTTGGTTCTAGATCTTTAAGGAATCACTAAACTGTCTTTCACAATGGTTGAACTAATTTGCTTTCCCATCAATGGTGTAAAAGTGTTCCTATTTCTTCACAACCTCACCAGTTTCTTAACTTTTTAATAATTGCCATTCTGACTGGTGTGAGATGGTATCTCACTGTAGTTTTGATTTGCATTTCTCTAATGATCAGTGATGTTGAGCTTGTTTTCATATGTTTCTGGGCCACACAAATGCCTTCTTTTAAAAAGTGTCTGTCCATGTCCTTGGCAGACTTTTTAGTTTTTTTTTTATAAATTTGTTTAAGTTCCTTGTAGATTCTAGATATAAGACCATCATCAGATGGATAGATTGTGAATTTTTTTCTGACTCTATAGGTTGCCTGTTCCCTCTGATGACAGTTTCTTTTGCTGTGCACAAGCTCTTTAGTTAAATTAGATCCATTTGTCAATTTTTGCTTTTGTTGTCATTGCTTTTGGGAATTTCGCCATGAAACATTTTCCTGTGCCGATGTCCTGAATGGTATTGCCCAGATTTTCTCCTAGGGTTTTTGTAGTTTGGGGTTTTATATTTAAGTATTTAATCCTTCTAGAGTTACTTTTTGTATAAGGTGTAAGGAAGGTGTCCAGTTTCAGTTTTCTGCATATGGCTAGTCAGTATTCCCAGTACCATTTATTAAATGGAGAATCCTTTCCCCGTTGCTTTTTTTTTTGGTCAGGCTCATTGAATATCAGATGGTTGTAGATGTGTGGTGTTATTTTTGAGGTCTCTGTTCTGCTCCATTGGTCAATATGTCTGTTTTAGTAACAGTGTCATGCTGTTTTGGTTACTGTAGCCTTGCAGTATACTTTGAATTGAGGTAGCATGATGCCTCCAGTTTTGTTCTTTTTGCTTAGTATTATCTTGGCTATACTAGCTGTTTTATGGTTCCTTATGAATTTTAAAGTAATTTTTTTCTAATTCTGTGAAGAATGTCAATGGTAGAGTGATGGATGTAGCATTGAATCTGTAAATTACTTTGGGCAGTGTGGCCATTTTCATGATATTGATTCTTCCTATACATGAGCATGGAATGTTTTTCCATTTGTTTGCATCCACTGCTATTTCCGTGAGCAGTGATTTTTAGTTCTCCTTGAAAAGGTCTTTCACTTCCCTTGGTATTTTATTCTATTTGTAGCAATTGTGAATAGCAGTTAATTTATGATTTGTCTCTGTGCTTGTCTATTGTTGTATAGGAACGTTTGTGAATTTTGCACATTGATTTTGTATCCAGAGATTTTGCTGAAGTTGCTTATCAGCTTAAAAAGCTCTTGGGCTGAGATGATATGTTTTCTAGATAAAGATCATGTCATCTACAAACAAAGACAGTTTGACTTCCTCTCTTCCTATTTGAATACTTTTATTTCTTTCTCTTGGCTGATTGCCCTGGCCAGAACTTCCAATACTATGTTGAATAGCAGTGGTGAGAGAGGGCATCCTTGTCTTGTGCCAGTTTTCAAGGGGAATGCTTCCAGCTTTTGCTCATTCAGTATGATATTGGCTGTGGGTTTGTCATAAATCGCTCTTATTATTTTGAGGCATGTTCCTTCAATATCTAGTTTATTATGAGTATTTAACATAAAGGAATGTTGAATTTTATTGAAGGCCTTTTCCACAGCTATTGAGATAATCATGAGGTTTTTGTCTTTAGTTCTGATTTAGTTATTGATTTGTGAACGTTGAACCAGCCTGGCATCCCGGTGATGAAGCCAATTTGATCTGGATGAATAAGCTTTTTGATATGCTGCTGGATTCAGTTTGCCAGTATTTTATTGAGAATGTTTGCATTGAGGTTTTTCAGGGAATTTGGCTTGAAGATTTTTTTGTTGTATCTCTGCCAAGTTTTGGTATCAGGATGATGCTGGCCTCATAAAATGAGTTAGGGAGGAGGCCCTCCATTTCAATTGTTTGGAATAGTTTCAGTAAAAAGGGTATCACCTCCTGTTTGTACCTGTGATAGAATTCAGCTGTAAATCCATCAGTTCTTGGGCTTCTTTTGTTGGTAGGTTATTTATTACTGTCCCAATTTCAGAACTTGCTATTGACCTATTCAGGGATTCAACTTCTTCCTGGTTCAGTCTTGGGAGGGTGTATGTTTCCAAGAATTCCTCTATTCCAGATTTTCTAGTTTGTTTGCATAGAAGTGTTGATAACATTCTCTAATGGTTGTTTGTATTTCTGTGGGGTCAGAGGTGATATCCCCTTTATCATTTTTATTGCCTCTATTTGAGTCATCTCTTTTCTTTTATTAGTCTAGGTAGCAGTCTATTTTATTAATTTTTTCAAAAAATTAGCTCCTGGAATCATTGATTTTTTGAGGGATTTTTTGTATTTGTATTTCTGTCAGTTATGCTTTGAACTTGGTTGTTTATTGTCTTCTGCTAGCTTTAGGTTTTGTTTCCCCTTGGTTCTTTAGATCTAATAGTTGTGGTGTTAGGGTGTCTATTTTTCTAGCTTTTTGATGTGGGCATTTAGTGCCGTAAATTTCCCTCTTAACACTGCTTTAGCTGCATCCCAAAGATTCTGGTAGGTTGTCTCTTTGTTCTCATTGGTTTCAAAGAACTTCTTGATTTCTGCCTTAATTTCATTATTTACCCAGGAGTCACTCAGGAGCAGGTTGTTCAATTTTCATGTAGTTGTGTGGTTTTGAGTGAATTTCTTAATCTTGAATTCTAATTTGATTGTGCTATGATCTGAGAGACTGTTTGTTACGATTTCAGTCCTTTTGCATTTGCTGAGGAGTGTTTTACTTCTTATTATGTAATTGATTTTTTGAGTAAGTGCCATGTGGCACTGAGAAGAATGTATATTCTGTTTTGGGGTGGAGAATTGTATGGATATCTATCAGGTCCACTTGATCCAGAGCTGAATTCAAGTCCTGAATATTCTTTTTAATTCTCTGTCTTGATGATCTGTCTAATGTTAACAGTGGGGTGTTAAAGTCTCCCACTATTACTTTGTGGGAGTCTAAGTCTCTTTGTATGTTACTAAGAACTTGTTTTTTGAATGTGGATGCTCCTGTATTGGGTGCATATATAATTAGAATAGTTAGCTTTTCTTGTTGACTTGATCCCTTTACCATTATCTTTATCTTATTTGAACTTTGTTGGTTTAAATTCTGTTTTGTCACAAACTAGGAATGCAACCCTTGCTTTTCTCTGCTTTCCATTTGCTTGGTAAATTTTCCTCCATCCCTTTATTTGAGCCTATGTGTGTCTTTGCACATGAGATGGGTCTCTTGAATGCAGCACACCAATGAGTCTTGACACTTTATCCAGCCTGTCATTTTGTCTTTTAATTGGGGTATTAAACTCACTTACATTTAAGATTAATATTCTTATGTGTGAATTTGATTCCATCATCATGATGCTAGCTGGTTATTTTGCAGACTTATTGCTGTATTTGCTTTATAAGGTCATTGGTCTTTGTACTTCACTGTGTTTTTGCAGTGGCTGGAACTGGTTTTTCCTTTCCATAACTAGTGTTTCTTTCAGGAGCTCTTGCAAGGCAGACCTGGTGTGACAAATTCCTTCAGCATTTGCTTGTCTGAAAATGATTTTATTTCTCCCTCACTTATGAAGCTTACTGTGGCTGGATATGAACTTCTCAGTTGGAAATTCTTTTCTTTAAGAATGCTGAATATTGGCCCCAATCATTTATCATGTTTCTGCTGAGAGTTCTGCTGTTAGTCTGATGGGCTTCCTTTTGTAGATGATCTGCCCTTTCTCTCTGGCTGCTACTTGTCAATTTCTAACATAAAATATAATGGACAAGACACCAGAAGAGTGGTTGACTCATATTTTAATTTTCATTAAGATGTTTAAATCTTGTAAATTTGTTGAAGTTCATTGTAGATTCTGGATATTAGCCCTTTGTCAGATGAGTAGATTGCAAAAATTTTCTCCCATTCTGTAGGTTGCCTGTTCACCCTGATGGTAGTTTCTTTTGCTGTGCAGAAGCCCTTTAGTCTACAATGAACTCCAACAAATTTACAAGAAAAAAACAAACAACCTCATCAAAAAGTGGGCGAAGGATATGAACAGACACTTCTCAAAAGAAGACATTTATGCAGCCAAAAGACACATGAAAAAATGCTCATCATCACTGGCCATCAGAGAAATGCAAATCAAAACCACTATGAGATACCATCTCACACCAGTTAGAATGGCTATCATTAAAAAGTCAAGAAACAACAGGTGCTGGAGAGGTTGTGGAGAAATAGGAACACTTTTACACTGTTGGTGGGACTGTAAACTAGTTCAACCATTGTGGAAGTCAGTGTGGCGATTCCTCAGGGATCTAGAACTAGAAATACCACTTGACCCAGCAATCCCATTACTGGGTATATACCCAAAGGATTATAAATTATGCTGCTATAAAGACACATGCACACGTATGTTTATTGCAGCACTATTCACAATAGAAAAGACTTGAAACCAACCCAAATGTCCAACAATGATAGACTGGATTAAGAAAATGTGGCACATATACACCATGGAATACTATGCATCCATAAAAAATGATGAGTTCGTGTCCTTTGTAGGGACATGGATAAAGCTGGAAACCATCATTCTCAGCAAACTATTGCAAGGACAAAAAACCACCACATGTTCTCACTCATAGGTGGGAATTGAACGAGAACACATGGACACAGGAAGGGGACCATCACACACTGGGGCCTGTTGTGGGGTGGGGAGAGGGGGGAGGGATAGCATTTGGAGATATACTTAATGCTAAATGACGAGTTACTGGGTGCAGCAACCAACATGGCACATGTATACATATATAACAAGCCTACACGTTGTGCACATGTACCCTAAAACTTAAAGTACAATAAAAAAAATTTTTTCCATCCATTAAAAAAAAAGATGTTTAAATCAAGGGCATGTAGGAAAACTATGGAAATTTACAAATTTATAACTTTATATTATGGTATACCAAAGCAAGAAATATTCCCAAAACTAGAGATTTTCGTAAGATTTCTCTAAGTAACCTTAGATCACCTGTTTTCTTGTAAGTCAATGTACCTAATGGTTTTCATATATAAAATGAGGATGGTATTTTTCCTAGCTATAATCTGTAATCAGATTACATTTTATTTTTAAACGTTCCTTTTTTTTTTTTTCTAGATGCAGTCTTGCTCTGTTGGCTAGAATGGAGTGCCACGGCACAACCATAGTCACCAGAGCGTTCAACTCCTGGGCTCAAAAGATCCTCCCGCCTAAGCCTCCCGAGGAGCTGGGACTACAGGTGTGCATCACCACTCTCAGCTAATTTTTTTTTTTTATTTTTGTAGAGACAGGGTGTCACTATATTGTCCAGGCTGGTCTCAAACTCCTGGCCTCAAGTTATCCTCCCACCTTGGCCTCCCAAAGTGTTGGAATGATAGATGCGAGCCACCATGTCTGGCTGTAATCAGATTTTAAAACTTTATTTAAAATTTCATAAGGCTCATATAGGTAGCAAGTTAACATATGTAAATATTTATTAAAATGTGCTTTTATAACTACATATATTATCACATATCTATCAAGCTCTCATAGCTTAACCATTGGTATCTGCAAACTCAGAGGATCACCAAACAGATGGAAACATACTTGATCATTTACAAGTCTACAAATGATAAATGTAAATTATAAAACAAAATCAGTTGCAATGAGAGCAATGATAACTTATTGCTCATTTTCCATGTTGTTTCTCAAGGATTTCTCTTCTACAAGCTTCCTGTTAGTTGTATCACAGTCTCTTAACATATATTGTGCCTTGGCTTTCATGCCAGGAAGCATATTAACTTTAAATAAACGTCCTTCTTGTTTTTCTGTCTCTGAGCAGCCAGGCAAGGCATAGCTCCAGCAGGACCTGAAAATGACTGAGCAAAGCAAGGAGAGAAAAAGTCCTGTTGCTTCTTTCTAGGAGGGTCTCAAATTACTCTTTCACTGTTCCCCTGGTATACTAAGTGCCTAAAGCCAAAGCAAGTCTACTTTTTGGCTACCACATCCTCTAGGGCACGTTTGCTTTTTAAATTCTTTATCTTATTGCCTACCAGTAGCTGGATCTGTCAACTCATCAAAGAGAGTAAGATCTGGATAGAATTCTTCCTTTAGCTACAATTATTTAAGTTCTATTTGATACCCTCCAACATCCTAAACCACCAATCTTCCAAGGGTAGGAAGGTGCCTGCAGCTATATTGAATAGACTCTTCATTTTACAACTTAAACTCTATTTTATTATTTTCAAATATTCATTATCAAAGATCTATTTCCATACATTGACAGTTAAATCTTTTACTTTTTCAACTTGGTATATTTCCTTTTTCCTTTCTCAGATGAGTCTAAATTGACAAAGTCAGTCCACATCTATGGCTTTGAACCTACTTTCACATACTCATAAAATCAAATTTAACTTTAGTTCTTCTACCTGAAAAACTTGAAGATCTTCATTATTACACCTTTTCTAATAATTATCTCTAAATCATTAATTCTGCTCCAATTAGCTACTATTTACAATTAACATTTTATGGTTGTTTATCCATATTAAAGTTTAAAACCTTCTTTCAAAATTTGTCTTATCCCTGGATGTCCTTTGACATTCTCTGATGCATTCTGAACCATATGCATACTAAATACTGTCTAATTCTCAGCATAATTCTACAGAAGAGGTTCTCAAATGTGACTACATATTAGAATTAGTGGGGAATTGAACACAATATCTGTGCCTTTACCCTACCCCAAGAGATTTTAATTCAACTAGTCTGGAGTGGCACCCAGGTATATGTAATTTTAACACTTTCCCCCACCCCAGATGATTCTAATGTGCAGTCATAGAAACAACAACAACAACACCGTGCTAGCTCATGTCAGGGATAGAACAAATGAGAAAGGTATGGTCTCTTTTTAGTGACCATATAATAAAGAGACTCAACTAAGAGACACAAAACAATTAGAGTACAATTAAATGTAAACTGTTTTGAACTTCATATAAAAACCTAGAGACTAAAAAAATTAAAATGACATTATTACAAAGTAAAGATGTTTGTAAACTAGACTAACCAGTGAAGGCATTATGGAGTATGTATAACTTAAGCTGGTTGCTGTGAATGGATTTGGGTAAGTTCAGAGAAGGGTGAAAGAGATATTAAAAATTAGAGGACTAGCAGACACAAAGGCAGTGAATCATACTTGACATTAAGAGAGAAAAGCTGACATGTTTGACTAGAGTATGTGTGTTTGAAAGTTATGAAAAATAGCAGTAAATAAGTTAGTGGCAAAATCAGAGGAGTCTATCTGCCATCTTGTCTCACCTCTATCATTCCTAATAAAACAAATATCAGGTAGTCACGGGATAAAAGTAGTGATATGAAAATTGGTATCCAACCACATCACTGGAGGATATATATGAAATGTTCCATTACAAATACAAATAGGTGTATATTTTCATTAATATCAAAAACTAGTAATGTTCTCATTTACATGGCAGAAACATTACATATTTGGCTTCTTAGAAGGCACAGAGGGCCAAATCAGAGGAGGCATAGGACAAATGCTCATTTTTCACTCCAGTAAAAGAACAGCTGAGAAATCAGGGAAGGACATCTTAATAAGATCATATTCTGAACCCTCATTTTGAAATGTGAGTGACGCTCTGGGGCATACGGGATAAGAAGCAGCAACCAGCAAGTGTTGTGAGGACTTCTCACTGAGAAGGTGTCTACAATAAACAGAAACCCTTCAGGGCAAGGCACCTGTGAGATGGATGTCTAATGAACAAACAGCTAAGTCACAGAAAGTACTCCTCTTCCAAAAAGTTGGCCCTAACAACTAAACTACTAGAATGCCTAGTGTTTCAGAGCACTGTAATGAGGCAATTTGAAATTCAACTTCAAACTCTATTGCTTATAGAGTGACTTAAGCATTTTGATTGAACTTTTTATTTATTTATGTTTTCAGATTCTTCCAGATCCTGAAATGAACTGTCTAATCTTTATTTTCCTGAATATAAATTGAAATCACTAGAAAAGAATTTTCCTTTGGGGTGTGTTATGTGGAATAAGTAAAATAATGCAGGTAAAGCAATTGGTCCTTTTTATATCCTAGAAGGTATAACTATAGTCAAAAGAAACACAGGTGTAGTGGAAGAGCTTCCTTACAGAGTTAGCATCCACATGTTGTAGGAAGTCAGTGATTCATTTCTTAATCTTAGAATGAGAAACTAGCAAGACTACCAGGTGCAAGTAACCTTCACATTAGAGCTTCACTTGACAGTCAGAAGTTGAAATAAGCAGATGCCAGCCAGTGAATATTCTCCTAGAGTTGATACCCAAGAAAGAGACTCCCCTGCCTCTTTCAAAAATTGGAAGATAACCACTAAAATCAGTGACAAGTTTTTACCTTTTTGGAAAGGAATAAGGACAGAAAGTGATACTAGTGAGTTATATTATATTTAGCACTGTTAAACTTTTAAAACTTTTTATATAAATTATTGTGAAAAGTAATAAAATCAATTTAAAATATAGATACAATGAAATAAAATATTACAAAGTTTGTGTGAAAATTCTAAAAATTAACTAAGGATACTGATGTAATATGGAAAATGAGAACAAAGAACCTGCTTGGGAAAAGACATATTGAAGAAAGAGATGGCGAAGAGGGGAGAAGGTGATACCTGTCTTATAAATTCTAGGAAGTTCAATGTTGAATATAAAAGATTGTCTTTAAGAGAATTTTTTTAAGAAATGATTTATTTATAGAAATGGAGGAAAAGATACCTGAAAAAAAACTAAAGATACCTGAAGAGAAAACTAAAATATCAATATTTAATTCATATTAGAAGTAGATATACAATTGTAAAAAATAGAGACATTGATCTCCATAGCACTTACGGCAAACTCACAGAAAAGTCAGAGGAAATAAGAAATGAAAGGAATGAGAATGAAAAGTGACATTTAGCTCCTGGGAGGAAGAAGTTGCAGCATCTACTCTGGGAACCAGTCACTCCATGAGAGTGATGCCCCCAAAGGAAAAGAATAAGCAGATAACCTGGTCTAATCTTTGTATTCACTGGACCTTTAGAAAAACAGACCAGTGTTATTTTCTAGGAGGGAGAGAATTTATCTCTGAATTGCGCTTAACAAGATTTCCCTGCCTAGAATTCCCCTGTAGTAAATGGAACCCAGAATCTTGATGGATATTTCCCCAAGGAGCTGCACAACTCTTGGGTTAAAAGTAGAGAAGATTCATAATAGAATTGCTCCAACTAAGGGAGGTGATAGTGTGAACTTTGCCTGTGGAGTATGTCTATTATTCTGTAACAGAGGTGCATATTCAAACTCTCAGATTTGTCTGAGTCTTTAGATTTCCTGTATCTTGACATTAATTATTGAAGGTTGACATTGGGTGAGATCTTTGATCTATGTGAGTAGGATGTGATAATATTATATATGTGTTAGCTCAACTTCAAATGACCTAAAATATAGAAAGAGTTGAACTGCAAGATGATAATTGAACCAATTCCCAAAAATATATTTATATTTCAGGAAACTTCTGAAAATAAGGAAAAGCTGGAATCTACAAAGAGGAAAGTACCGTGATTTTCCAAATATGTTTATATCCATGTTATGAGTTCTAGATACACACATACACACACACACACCCATCATATATACATGTTTCACATATATACATAATGATTCACATAGATCTTTGATCTATGTGCATCAGATGTCATAATATTATATATGTATTAGCTGAACTTCAAATGACCTAAAATATAGAAAGAATTGAACTGCAAGATGATAATTGAAGAAATTTCAAAAAATATATCCATATTTCAGGAAACTTCTGAAAATAAAGAAAAGCTGGAATCTACAAAGAGAAAAGTATGATTTTCCAGAAACTATGTTTATATCCATGTTACCAGTTCTATACACACACACACACACACATGCATCAGATGATATATAGACAGATATACATAATGTTTCACATAATGCAGATAAGAAACTACTCAAGTGCTATGATTACACTAGGATTGCTACACCTGAATTTAAAAAGTAATCTGCACTTTCCATTTAAATTCGTGGATTGACAGCCATTGGTTTTCCAGGACTTAGAAAATGGTTCAGTTATGCCTCCTTGTATAATAAGTAATTTTATATGTTTCCTTGCATTTATTTATTGAGCATATCCAATAACAGTAACCACACAGTTTTCATTTTTTATTGGTTGATACACAACATCTAAATAATGTGGTATCTTGCCTTAGTTATTAATGCTGGACATGGGGAATAAAATATAATATCAACCTATCTAAGCAACTCCTGATTCTTCCATTTTTAAGAAGTAAACGACAGCTATTATAAAGCATTAAGGTTGTATTTGGAAGTACACTGTAAGAGACACCTCCCAAGACAAAGGGAAAATATTTCAGTAAACATAGTGCCTATTTCTGATCCTTCTCACCCAATCATATAATATTGGTGACTATGGTTTTGTGTTGGAGGTAGAAAAATGAAGAAGGAAAAAATGGGAAACTCAGCTTATAATTAATTTATCAAAACTCTATTTCTTAGTTGTGGTATTACTGGACCTGAGTGAATTCCTAGGCCATGAAGAACATATTGTAACTAATATAATATAAAGTTCTTTCTTCATAATGTTCTCTTTATTACTGCAGGACACTAGACCCTATCATCACTGAAAGAATGGGAGCCAATAGACAAAAACACTAACTAGTCAACGACTACTAGAGTATTAATTATGGATGCCATTGAGGTATCACTTCCATTTTAAATAAGAGGGAAATGAAGAACACAGAGATCAAATATCTTGTCGTGGGCCTTACTTATACGTAGAGATGAAGATGTGATTTCAACCAGAAATGTCTAATTCAGAAGTTCTTTCTGACTGGACAAGGTGGCTCACGCCTGTAATCCCAACAATTGGGAAGTTAAGACAGGAGTATCACTTGAGCCCAGGAGTTCAAGGCCAGCCTGGGCAACATACTAACACCACATATCTACAAGAAAATTTAAAAATTAGTTGGATGTAGTGGCATGCACCTATACTCCCAGCTACTCAGGAGGCTGAGTTGGGAGGATATTTTGAGCCTGGGAGATCGAAGCTCCAGTAAGCCATGATTGTACCACTGAATTCCAGCCTGGGCGACAGAGCAAGACCCTGTCTCAAAAAAATAAAAAGTAAAACATAAGTTATTATTTGTCTGTCTTCCCCACATCCCACCCAGCAATATGTACTTCCTGCTTTAATTAGAGTTACATTTTAACATGTGTTGGCGTAGAAAAATAATCTCAGAATTATGCTAATCTGATTGCAATCTTCAGCTTCGCAATTGATATCATTGCGTCCATGGGTATATGAAAGTTTTCAGGAGGAAATCTATCTGAGATTTTGAGATTTTGATCACCAGTTCATAATATCTTGCATAGGCTAATTATTGTTCATATAGATATCTTAAGTTATTCAGTAGATTTTAAATAATCATGAGCTAAGTATTCTATTCAATTAGCAAGTCCTTACTGAGATATTCTATCATATTCCAGCTATTCAAATAAGAGTCATAGGTTCTTCCATCTGAACCCTATTAAATCAAATGACATTGAAATTAAATTCCAGGACAATTATTTACTGGGATGTTATTTATTTTGTATGTTTACTAATTCAACAAATAATAGGTAATTGATCATATTGTATAAATTAACAAAATAGAAATCAACTACACTTAATTCTGTAGCTACTTTGTTTTATGAGGCACTCCAAAAAGTTCATAAATACGTTGATTTTCCTGCTTGGAATATATACCCATTTCACATAGCCAACTCCAAATAATCTTCCAGGTCTTTGCCTAAATACCAATTACTTCTCATTAGATATCAAAGCCCTTTGTTATAAAATCTCAAAACACCCTGTAGATTTCTTTATAACATTTCTCACAGTATAATTACATACTTATTTGCGTTTATGTGTTCAAGGCCTATTTCCTTCATCTGATATCTGCACCCACAGGAACAGGAACTTTATCTTGTCTCTTTACTGTTATTTTTTCAGAAATCTCTCTTGACCTGGCACAAAATATACTTTCATATTTGCTAAAAATTTGAATAATTTGCAATATCACTGAAGCACAAACTTGAATTAAATATATGAGTCTATTGTGTGGAAGACAGAAAGGAAGATAAACTTTATTGTCTCTTCAGGATCAAAGTTTTCTGTTGTTTCGTCTTGTTTTTTATTTCAGTAGCTTTGGGGATACAAGTGGTTTTGGTTACATGGATAATATTATCATGGTGAATTCTGAGATTTTCGTGCATCCATCACCTGAGCAGTGTACACTATATGCAATATGTAGTCTTTTATGCCTCATTCCCCTCCCACCCTGCTCCCTCACCCTGAGTCCCCAAAGTCCATTATATCACCACTCTTATAATGAGGATGTCTTTGCATTCTCATTATAAGGGGACATGTAGCATTTGGTTTTCTAGTCCTAAGTTACTTCAGTTAAAATAATGGCCTCCAGATCCATCCAAGATGCTGCAAAAGACATTATTTAATTACTTTTTATGGCTGAGTAGTATTCCATGGTGTGTGTGTGTGTGTATGTGACATTTTCTTTATTGACATTCATATGCTTGTGTCTTTTTCATATAGTGTCTTATTTTCCTTTGGGTAGAAACCCAGTAGTGGGATTGCTGGATTGAATGGTAGATCTACTTTTAGTTCTTTAAGGAATCTCCATAACAGTTTACCATAGAGGATCAAAGTTTTAATGCAGGTTTGCCATTTATATTCCTGCATGATTCAATTTAACAGCTACACCGATCCTGTTAGGAAAGTATCACTGTCTTCCTTTAAAGTCAAGCATACTGAAGAAAATATATGTTACACTTGTATACACAAAATTAGATTTCACAAAGATTATACCAAGGTTCTCTTTGGATATAAAGAGAATATCTGCATATCAAAAATATGTCCTCATATTGAGCACATCAGTAATCATGCAGTAAGCTGATTCAAAATGCTGGGCCTTCCTATGTTCCTGTTTGTGCACACACACACACACACACACACACACACACACACAAAACATAGAGATGTCATAGTTATTGTTATTATTATTATTATTTTTGGAGTTTCACTCTTGTTGCCCAGGCTGGAGTGCAGCAGTGCAATCTTGGCTTACTGCAACCTCTGCCTCCCAGGTTCAGGCGATTCTCCTGTCTCAGCCTCCCAAGTAGCTGGTATTACAGGTGCCTGCCACCACGCCCAGCTAATTTTTGAAGTTTTAGTAGAGATGGGGTTTAACCATGTTGGCCAGGCTGGTCTCGAACTCCTGACCTCCGGTGATCCACCCACCTTGGGCTCCCAAAGTGCTGGGATTACAGGAATAAGCCACCACGCCTGGTGGAGATGTCATAATTTTGAAAGCTTATTTTTAGAAAACAAAATGCTGCCCACAATATCATTTTTTTCTATAAAACTCAGATAAAAAGTCGCTTATATTCTTTTACATGAGTTTAAGTAAGCTCAACTAATATTTCAGTTGTAAGCATGAAGCATTTTTGTTTTTCTGAAGTTCACAATTTGTTATGAATCTGTTTACTCCAAGTTAACAATTTCTACAGAGAGAGGTTGTGACAAATATTCTAATATCAGTGCAACAATTTGTATATGTTACATATCGGTTTGTGTGGATGAGCTAACAACATAGATTTTGAAGTTTGCCAAAGGAGGACGACAACTGATATACCCAAAAGAATAGTCTTAGATAAATTTAAAGTGTTATCACACTGAGAAACACCTTTTTTAGGGAGATGAATATGAAAAGGATCAGAGAGCTAGGAAAGGGTAAAAAGTACAGTGTCACAGATAAGAAGGAAGGGAAGTGTTACAGAATGGGGTTCATCAAGATTTAATTAAAACCTTCATAAAATTTTTATGCACAGAATATAGATAGTATTTTCTTACAATTTTTAATAAAAGTTTGCCATGTTTTCTGAATGTACATTAATGGAACTTGCAAGTGAAATGCTGACATTCGTCTGTGTAAGTAATAATAATAGATGGGTTTGTGACAATGTTTAATAGCACTTACTTCAATCTTTCATTTGTCCTTTTATTTAATATTATTAAACTTTACGAACTCTTACAAAAATGAAGTAATTAATCTTTATAACATTCCCTGCAGGTAGTTAGATAGCTTCATTATGATAAAAGAAATAGAGAACATATATTGGTTAAACGAATATTGCAATATCAGCCTCTTAGCATTTCTGATCATCTTTTCAACCCTCAAAAATAATTATGTTTTTCTTCTCAGAGATTTTTTAAATATCTGCAAGACTCACAGTCTTACTTTTATTTATTATTATTCTCTTTGCAATATTCAGGATGTTATAAGAAAAGTCTATGAACATTAAAGATTTGTATTATTTATGTACTTTTTAAGATAATTTAAACTGGATTTAAGAACTTAATTTTTAATAATTTTTACAATTTCTTTAAAACATCTGTATTATTATTAAATAAAATGCAAAACATTAAAAATATGTATACTCAAAACATTTTATAAAAATATTTTTTACTGAAGTCTAAAATAATCTAGGCAGGGCACAGTGGCCCACACGTGTAATCCCAGCACTTTGGGAGGCTGAGGTGGGTGGATCACTTGAGCCTAGAAGTTCAAGACCAGCCATGGCAACACGATGAAAACATGTTTTCCAAAATATACAAAAATTAGGCAGGCCTGGTGGCTCATGTCTGTAGGTTCAGCTACTTGGAGGCTGAGGTTGGAGGATCGCTTGAGTCCAGGAGGTCAAGGCTGCAATGAACCATGATCATGCCACTGCACTCACTACTCCAGCCTGGGTGACAGAGCAAGACCTTGTCTCAAAGAAAAAAAAAAAGAATATATGTGTAGCTCTCATTTTTTATTTTATGTAGTGTAATATCTAATTTATTATCTTTAGAATCCTTGGTCAAAATTAAAGGAAAATTAACGACAGTGTTACAATCCTAACGTGTAGCTTCATTCTTCATTTTTCTATTTTTTAATACAAGAGCATTCATTGAATTTCTTCTAGTTCATTTTGTCCCTTTGTTCTAAAATGTCAAAAACTTTGATTTCTCACCCTTTTTATCAAACTCAATTCTTTGAACTTTTGTTTATTCCCAAACCCATGTGTTTGCATAAATTGTGGTTTTAAGATTAAAATGACAGGATAGATGTATCACAATTCCCAAATAACACCATTATTTAGTCACCTCTCTCTAGATAGTCAAGAGCATAAGAAACTCTGAATTAATATTTTTTATCTTTTCTCCCAAAAATATTGTGTAGGCCTTTGACAAATGCCTTAAAAAATGTAGATGCAAATTGCCTGCATTATTCTTTTTATCTCTAAGAGTAGTAAATTTATCAGAAAAGCAAATGAGTTTAAACTGACTGGACTTGTTCTTGAGTGTCCATATTTGTTTCCACCATCAAGTCTTGCCCCAAGATTACATTTCTAGATGCTTTTGACCCTTTTGTTTATAGCTCATCCTTTGGATTTCCCAGATTTCATAATATGCTTACAACGTTGCAGCATCCATCTTCTTCAGTCTTACAAAAATAAAAGCAATTCAAATCCAAATTGAGATAGACTGAATGTTGATGTCCCCTACAATTCATGTGTTGAAATCCTAACCCCCAATGTGATGGTATTAGGAGGTGGGGCCTTTGAGTAGTAATTAGGTCAGGTTAGTGAAGTCCTCATGAATGGAATTAGTGCCCTTATAGAAGGTACCCCAGACAAATCTCTTGCTTTCTTTCTGCCATATGAGGATACATGAGAAAATGGCAGTCGGCGACCCAGAAGACACTCCCACCAGAACTCAACCACACTGGAATCCTTACCTCAGATTCCCAGCCTCTATAACCTTGAGAAATAAATTTCTGTTTTTTAAAAGCCATCCAGTCTTTGCTATTTTTTCATAGCAATCTGAACTGGCGAAGACATCAATTATCTTTTGCATTTTCTTTGGCCTTCCTTAAGGATGTTCCATACTAATTTTCCAATAATTATATTTTCTAAGATTTGGTATTTTGATGCTTTATTTTCAGTTTACTTAATTATGCATTTAAAAAATCACCTGTCTTTGGCTTCAATAGTATTTTTAACAAAGATCTCACTGATAATTTCCAGTTATGCAATATCAGTGCTTCTTGTTTTAAATTGTGCAATAGCTTCTGGTTTTGGCAAGTTTCAGCCACTGGAATCACTGTCTTGCTTGAGCCATGCCTCCGGATCATCACCTCTTGAGGTTGACTGCCATTAACTTTAAGCACATAGGAAAAGTTGAAAAATTATTTAAAATAAGTAAGACTATATTTTCAATCAAGGAACATGATTAGGACTATCTGTATCAAAACACACACACACATGCACACATAACACACACAGAGTAAGGGGATGTTACTATCTGCTTAATCCTTAGGCCTTAAGTACTTAATCACTTCTTATTCATTAATATAATTTATCCTCTGATCAACATGAATTGTTTCAGGTTGCTGATCCAAATGTGCCTTAATATTTGTGTTTAGACCGTGAAAAAATACCTACAAGTCATGTTTTCTTTTTTAAAAATTTTTATTTTTATTTTAAGTTCCAGGGTACATGTGCAGGAGGATGTACAGGTTTGTTACACAGGTAAACATGTGCCATGGTGGTTTGCTGCAACTATCAACCTATCACCTAGGTATTAAACCCAGTATATATTAGCTATTTTTCCTAATGCTCTCCCTCCCCCTACCCTACTCCCCGACAGGCCCCAGTGTGTATTGTTTTGCTCCCTGTGTCCATGTGTTCTCACTGTTCAGCTACTACTTATAAGTGAGAGAGAATATGTGGTGTTTGGTTTTCTGTTCCTGTGTTAGTTTCCTGAGGATAATGGTTTCCAGCTCCATCCATGTCCCTGCAATGGACATGATCTCATTCCTTTAAGGGCTGCCTAGTATTCCATAGTGTATATGTAACACATTTTTTATCTAGTCTATTATTGATGGGAATTCAGGTTGATTTCATATCTTTGCTATTGTGAATAGTGCTGCAATGAACAAACATGTGCATCTATCTTATAAAAGAAGTCAAGTAGTGTGATGCCTCTAGCTTTGTTCTTTTTGCTTAGCATTGTCTTGGATATATGAGCTCTATTTTGGTTCCACATGAATTTTAAAATAGTTTTTGTCTAATTCTGTGAAGAATGTCAATGGTAGTTTAGCATTGAATCTATAAATTACTTTAGGCAGTATGGCCATTTTCACTATATTGATTCTTACTATCCATGAGCATGGAATTATTTTCCATTTGTTTGTGTCTTCTCTGATTTCCCCACTGTTGATATATGGCAGACCATTGAGACCGAAAATTAACAAAGATATTCAGGACTTGATCTCATCTCTGGATCAAATGGACGTGATAGATATCTACAGAACTCTCCACCCAAAAACAACAAAATACACATTCTTCTCAGTGCCACATGGCACTTATTCTAAAATTGATCACATAATTAGAAGTAAACCACTCCTCAGCAAATGCAAAAAGACTGATATCATAACAACCAGTCTCTCAGACCATAGTTCAATCAAGTAAGAATTCAAGATTAAGAAACTCACTCAAAACTACACAACTACATGGAAATTGAACAACCTGCTTCTGAATGACTCCTGGGTAAATAATGAAACTATGGCAGAAATCAATAAGTTATTTGAAGCTAATGAGAACAAACAGAAAATGTACCAGAATCTCTGAGACGCAGCTAAGGTAGTGTTAAGAGGGAAATTTATAGCACTAAATGCCCGCACTGAAAAGCTAGAAAAGCTAGAAAATCTGAAAAGCTAAAAGCCCACACTGAAAAGCTGAAAAGCTAGAAAGATCTCAAATCAACATCTTAACATCACAACTAAAAGAACTAAAAAACCAAGAGCAAATATGCCTCAAAGCTAGCAGAAGGCAAGAAATATCCAAGATCAGAGCAGAACTGAAGGAGATAGAGACATGAAAAACCCTTCAAAAATAAATGAATCCAGGAGCTGGTTTTTTGAAAAATGTAATAAAATAGATAGATTGGTAGCTAGACTAATAAAGAAGAAAATAAAGAAGAATCGGATAGACACAATAAAAAATGATAAAGGGGATTTCACACTGACCCCATAGAAATACAAACAACCATCAGATAATACCATAAATGCTTATATGAAAATAAACTGGAAAATCTAGAATAAATGGACAAATTCCTGGACACATACACCCTCCCAAGACTGAACCTGAGTATACCAATAATGAGTTCTAAAGTTAAGAAAGTAATAAATAGCCTGACAACAAAAAAGGAGCCCAGGGGCAGATGGATTTACAGCTGAATTATACCAGAGGTAAAAAGAGGAGCTTTACCATTTCTTCAAAACTATTCCAAACAATTGAAAAGGAGGGACTCCTCCCTGACCCATTTTATGAGGCCAGCACCATTCTGATACCAAAACCTGGCAGAGACACAACAGAAAAAGAAAACCTTAGGCCAATACTCCTGATGAACATCAGTGCAAAAATTATCAATAAAATACTGGCAAACTGAATCCAACAGCACATCAAAAAGCTTGTCCACCACAAGCAAGTTGGTTTCATCCCCAGGATGCAAGGCTGGTTCAATACATGGAAATCAATAAACATAATTCATCACAAAAACAGAACTAAAGACAAAAGCCACATGATGAGCTCCACAGATGCAGAAAAGGCCTTCAGTAAAATTAAACATCCCTTCATGTTATAAAAATTCTCAATAAACTAGGTATTGAAGGAACATGCCTCAAAATAATAAGAGCCATTTATGACAAACCCACAGCCAATATCATAATGAATGGCAAAAGCTGGAAGCTTTCCCCTTGAAAATTGGCACAAGACAAGGATGCCCTCTCTCACCGCTCATATTCAACATAGTATTGGAAGTTCTGGCCAGGGCAATCAAGCAAGAGAAAGAAAGAAACAGTATTCAAATAGGAAGAGAGGAAGTCAAATTGTCTTTGTTTGCAGATGGCATGATCCTATATCTAGAAAACCACACTGTCTTAGCCCAAAAGCTTTTTAAGCTGATGAGCAACTTCAGCTGTCTCTGGATAAAAAATCAATGTGCAAAAGTCACAAGCACTTCTATACACCAACAACAGACAAGCAGAGAGCCAAATCATGAATGAAATCCCATTCACAATTGCTACAAAGATAATAAAATACGTGGGAAGATAGTTAACAAGGGAAGTGAAGGACCTCCTCAAGGAGAACTACAAACTGCTGCTCTAGAAAAATTTTCATTCTTTTTTGAAAAATTGTCTTCAAACCTTAGTCAGTTGGGGAAAGCTTCTAATAAATGTACAGATAATAATGTTCATAATATTTACTTTTCAGAGTCATTGTAAATAATGTCTTTTACCAAAACTATTTTTCAAGTATACCGTAACTTGCAAGATGGGAAACCACAATGTCATACTTGCTCATATTCCACATTATCCAGATTGAAGTCATAATTAACATGTTTACACATTAGAAGGCATCCAAAAACACTGTCAATTTCTCTTCAAAACATGTTAAATTTTCTTCGATTTTTGAAAATTTTTTTGTGTAACATTTTTAATTTTCTAAGAACATTTTAAATTATATTTCGGCTTTCCCTCTATTTTAGGATTTCAAAATATTAGAAATATAAACATTAAAATATTAAAATTGTAGAAATTTATTCCTAGTTTCTTATTTATTAACTTAAAATTTAATAAATATGGTTTTGACTTAGCAATCATATGTTTGCCCTTATTCTACATGTTTTCTGCTATTCAGACCATCCCTCTATGCTCTCTTTCCTTTTTTTGGCTTTCTTTTATTGTGGTATCTAAAATCTCATTTTTTATTTCCTCCCAATAATATTACATTCCCTTCAATAATTTACTCATGATGTGTAATAATAATATATGACTGATTATTAAAATTAGATTCTTGATCACTTTGGCTGATAACTCAAAGGTTGAGCAGAATACAAGGGATGTTCAGTTGACCTCACATTCCCTTTTTGAGGTGCTAGACCTGCTATACCACTGATACAGAACTTGCAAAAACAGATGCCTAAAACTGATTTCAGCACCCTGGATTCATCTAAAGATTCTAAACACTTCTAGCTGATAGTTAAAGAATGTCAAGAATGTGTAGAATTACTGATACATCTCCCATACTCCCCATAGGGTAGAGATAATAACTTTTTTCTCCCTCAGGTCTGGTAAATGGGGCTTCAAAAGGTCCACATGAAATGCTTTAAAAGGACCACTTGGAGAGCACACCACTCTTTCTCCAATGACAAAAGCAAGTCAGTCCACTGAAAGTCATCCCATAAAGGACACAGCCCAAGACGGCCACCTGGAGAACAATGGGACTCCAACAGAAAGGGTCTATGTGAGATGGACCTCACATAGTGAAGCACAAACAAACATGAGATTGTGGTTTTCTATTTTGCAAGTTGCAGCTCTCAGAAACTGAGAGCTGGAGTCGTAAGCAGCCCATATTACTTGCATTGCTCTGGAAAATGCCCTGGGGAAGTCTCTAAGAAAACGTAAGTGTTCCACAACAGAATTTTAAACATTTGCCAAGCACTAGTAGACAAGACAGCAGTGGCCAGATAAGTGGTCATGTGTTCTTTCCCTTATTCTTCTCTACTTCTAGTCAAACTCTAGATAAGTCTGAGTTCATGGTAAGACAGAGAGAAAAAAAAACACAAAAGCACTGTGGGGAAATAGAAGAAAAGTTCCTCATCATCACTGACCTCACTGCAGGCTTTCTAGACTAAATTAGAAAGAGGCTAAAGAAGATATGACTTGTAACATATTTTTCATGTTAACAGTTACCATAGACACTAAGGGTATTATTGGAATAAATGATGTCTAGAGGATGTTCTGTTATTCAAGAGTAATGAGAAAAGCTATAGTACCTGTCTAACATTTCATTCAGGGGGAGAGAAAGAATATTCACTGAGCAATTTTGAAGACAGAGTGAAAAAAATAATGATAATGTTTTGTTTGAACCCTATTGAGTACAGCTCAGGCTATACAATGGTTATTTTTTAAAATTTCTTTCCCTTTACTACTTAATGTGTGCCACAAAATGATTTAATGTCGTGAGTCATAGGTCTTGATAAAGCATTCACAAGAAGTCCAAGGTCATGTGTCTGTGGATTATGTTCCAAATTTCTAGGGGTGAGAAGGAGTTACGATGAAATCTTTATCATCAAAATCAAACAATTTAAGAAACTTTCAGCCAGAGAAAAAGTAAAATCAATGATCAAGTATACCCTGTTATTCATGTCATTGATCAGCATTAATCTTCACAGCACATCAAAGCACTGATAGAAACATGCAGACAAGGGACTCTACTCTGACAGAGGCAACCATAAGTCTCATCCTGAGAATCAAATAAAGTGAGGGCTTAGTACTGCCGATCACGATGCCAGTTTGATTGTAAGGAGCAAGCAGCTCTGGGAAAGTGCAACGGCACCTCTATCTGGGAAAGGAGATCTGGGCTTTGAAGGGTTTTCTTATCCAGAAGGGAAAATTTGCTAGAGTCAAAGTGTTATACACACACACACACACACACACACACACACACACACAGCTAAAGCATCGTATCAAATAAGCTGGAAACGAAGAAGTCCATGTAATTATCACATGAAAGTGACATTGAAGGAAGATGAGCAACATTTTCTTTAACTTGTAGCAGGGCATTTTAACTGATCAAGAAAGGTTCCAATCTTGCGACTTTTACCATACTTGACTCACCATCTAATACATGCTTGCAACAAGAGTTCATCATGGGATGTTGTTTTGCAAATGGGAGACGGTGCAGGAGTTTGATAAGAGGAAAGTTTAGGGCCTAGGAAAGTGGAAGAGGATGAAAGGCATGGGATAGTGTCTGATTTACTTGAACTTACTTTGAGGTTATTTGATTTCAACATGAAGGGCAAGCACTGAAGGTAAAGATTTCTTAAGAAGCATGAAATTCTGGGCAAAAATGGAAGCTGAGGAATGCTTCCCAAAAGGTTTGTAAAATGCTGATTGCAAGCAAAGCGTGGGTCTGACCCTTTGAACTGCACAGGATGGAAGCAGTGACACATCTCCTCTTTCTGCATGGGGTCCAAGAAGCTAGAGCAAGAGCACAAAGCATGATGTGGCCATTTACAGAATTGTGATCATGAACCCTTAGACCTTCATTTAATACTTCAAAGCAACTGACTTTGAGGGGAACTAATTTTCTTCTTGCAGAGTTTATAATTTAGGTAACAAATTAAAACAAGAAAACTTTGAGTGGAGATTGAAACTGGTGGAAATTTTAGATGGACTTTGCATGATAACTACTCCCTTTCACTTCTGCTTCTCTGTAAGACAAGATACTCTGGCTTTTCTCCAATAAATTTACTTATTTGCTTATGTTAACTCAGGTTCAAGATGTTTGCAGCCAAAGAATTTTGATTTCAGACAGAAGTAGGAATTTTTTTTACCATGTATTTATTTCATATAAAATTATTATTCTCATTAAAATCAACATATTATCGCCTCCTGTGAATGTGCTTCTCTGCTTGCTTTATAGAGACAAATATTTACACCCAACAGAAACAGTCGACACTATCAAGAGTGCTATCATTTTCAGGTTATTGAAGATGTAAATAATGCGTAACAAAATTAATTCAGAGAAATGGCTATAAATTAAAACAAATTAGGGTGGGGGGAGGGGGGAGGGATAGCATCGGGAGATATACCTAATGCTAGATGACGAGTTAGTGGGTGCAGCGCACCAGCATGGCACATGCATACATATGTAACTAACCTGCACATTGTGCACATGTACCCTAAAACTTAAAGTATAATAATAATTAAAAAAAATTAAAACAAATTAGAATAAGATTGTAGCTCAGGGGTTCTAATGACGAGTGCTAAGTTTCTTTTTCTGCTAAAATGTTCTGTTTTAGAATATTCCTCCTGTTTGTCTGCTCTAGAAAAGCAAACTTTCTTTCCAGAGGTTTCTTGATCAGTTTTCACTCTATGTCTCCCAAATAAAGCCCACTGGCTCCCTTAGTAAAGTAACTCTTGATTCCCAAGTACATTCGGAGGCAGCATCTGTGTTCTAATCCACAGGTCTGTCCTAGGCTTTTCTCATTTGCCGTTGCTCTCAGCTCGGAGAGCCTAAGGGAGTTTTGGTTGAATATGGAGGCAGAAATATAACATTTTTTTAAAATAGTGCTTAAGATGCACCTTTATCACTATTACACCAATCACTGTAAACTATATAACATTTTTTAATCAAAGTATAGACTATTCTCCAGTACAACAATGTATGATGCATAGGCACGTATTAGATTGTTCTCACACTGTTATAAAGGAATGCCTGAGACTGGGTAATTTATACAGAAAATAAGTTTAATTTGCTCACAGTTCCTCAGGCTGTACAGGAAGGATGAGCCTGGCATCTGCTCAGTTTCTGGGGAGGCTTCAGGAAACTTACTCAATCATGGAGGAAGGCAAAGGGGTAGCAAGCATGTCACACAACGAGAGCAGGAGTAACAGAGCAGGGGAGATGCCACACACCTTTAAATGACCAGCTCTCCTGAGAACTCACTCATTATCACAAGTACAATACCAAGGGAATGATACTAAATCACACATGAGAACTCTGCCCCCATGATTCAATCACCTCCTACCAGGCCCCAGCTCCAATACTGGGGATTACAATTCAACATGAATTTGAGTGGGGACACAGATCCAAGCCATATGAGGCTTCAAGAATATTCAAGTGAGTAGGACCCAATCATTCTATCTCTAGAGGGTATTTTCTGGAGATAATAGGACACCAAGCTTTATTTAAGCTGTCTGCACTTTTGCCAGTTGTTGAATCCTAAGGTGAGATAACATGCATTTTCTGAAACGGCTCTGTTGTATCTATGAAGGTTTTATTTGGATATCAACAAATTTTGGATTAATACTTAATATATTAAAATTGCTTGAAATCCAGGTTTCCCAAATCAGCCTTTCTCTGGGATCTTCCAGTGAATCTCTTATTTCACCTTAAAGGTCACAGAGAAGGGGTTCTAGTTGCTGCTTGCCAGTCTCTAAAAGTAAGATTCTGGCATCTAAATTACTTTTGGCAAGAAATTGAAGGGTTCTTCTCTGTGTCTCCTGATAATTCACAGGCAAACAGTATGTAATTATAAACTCTCAAAAGAGGAGGAACAGTTAATTTTACCACCAAGTGATAGTCTAACAAAATTCACTCTGTAACAACTCATAGGTCTTTTGAAAGGCTATAGAGTCATCTTTATACTTAGTGCAACTCTGACGGATTCAGGATCTGTCCTCAGCCTTGCAAGTCCTGAACTTACCGAGGGATAGTCAGGAATAGATTTGTTACCTTTTCAAGAATTATTATTTCCATTTCTATACACACTTGGAATGTATAAAGTAAATTTAGTATATGTTACTCGAACTTTACTTAAGCATCTATATGTTGCATGGTGTTTTACTGATTTCTCTGAGAAACTGAGTTTAGAAATAACCCAGCTAACATGGCACCTAATGACTATCATTCTCCTAGGTCCCATTTTTTGTTCTTGGCACCACCACGAGCTCAAAGTTTCAGCTAAGAGCCAGTTCAGTTTATGGCAAAGTCAGTATAAATAACAACTATAAAGGTAACCAGTTAGTGTACAATACAAGGAAGACTTTTTTCAACTTCTTAATGCGGTATTTTCAAACTTTCAGTGGTGAAGATACAGGGTTTTTTGTTGGTTTGTTCATTTGTTTTGTCTTAATTTATAATCTAAAGCAGACACTAAAAGTAAATTATTAGAAAAGTTAAAAAGACACAAGATATAAAGCCAAGTTTTTGACCTAAAATTACCCTGTCAAATTTTACACAATTTTTGACATACTCACTCTCAATTTCTGTACTTATCTTATTGCAGACAGATGGCAGTTTTTAACATCAACATTGGACCTTAGACTACACTATAAATTATCCTCTAAAAAAAGATTCTTAGAAGTAAATTTATGAAGGCACAATTTCAACTAAGCTTAACAGTTGAAGAACTATAATGCTACATATTTCCAGCAATTTTTTTAAAAAATCCATTGCTATGTCATATTTTGTTTTGTTAGGCAACTTTATCTCATTTTCTTGGGTACTTCGGGACTTATTTTATATGATGAGACACACTGCTATAATCTGAATGTTTAGGTCCCTCCAAAATCATATATTGAAATCCTCACATCCAGGGTGATGGTTAGGGGGTGGAGTCTTTGGGAGGTGATTAGATCATAGGAGGGGACTTAGTGCTCTAACAAAAGAGGCCCATAGAAATATTCCGACCTCCTTTCTCTGTGTCAGGTTAAAATGAGAAGACAACTGTTTATGAGGAAGCAAGCCCTCAGCAGACCCTTGATATGCCAGAGTCTTGATCTTGGATTTCCCAGCCTCTAGAATTGTGAGAAATACATTTATTTCGTTTCTAAACAACCCCATTATATTTTGTTATAGCAGCCTGAACAGACTAAGACAGAGATCACTTTCTATGCACATTGGTTCTTATTTTTGGAAATAAAAAAATTTAAAACATCTATTATACAAGAGTTCATATATATATATATATATATGTATAATTCTGATTGATAGATGTCTTTGACTACCTTGGTCCCTCTGCCTGGAGGTTTTTGATTTTGTTTCTTTTTTCTTCAATTCACACAACAAATCTAAAATCTGACAATCTCATGAAGTCCAGTTCAGTTGCTAACATCTCCAGGAAACTGTTGCAGATTCTCATAGCTGAAACTTTTCTCTTTCTCTGCTACAAAGCTCTTTCCCTGGTTTTCTTTTATGGCTTACTATTAGATTCAGGTCACATACGTGATATTGTATTTTTCCTTCTACAAAAGTGATTCCATTCAGGGAAAGTCTGTATCTTATCCAGGTACCTCACCATAATATCACAATTCCCCATTATTTTTATTCTATATGCACGTTTAGTAATTTAATGTTTTTAATAGTTAATTTTTTTGTCTGTATTCTTAATAAAATGTGAACTTGGTAACATAAAAAACCTCATCTACCTTCTTTAGCACTTATTTCTGGCAAATGCAATAACAAAAATAATACAATTTATGTGCCAGGATTTATTCTAGGCCATTTAGTCCATACAATAATGCAATGAGAAAGGTAATATTATCATTCCCACATATTGATGAGAAAACGAAAGCATCCCTTTTAAGTAACTTATGCAAGGTATGATAGTTACTTTACTAATTAATAAGCTGGGAGTGATTTACGCTTCAATAGTGTATTTTCAGGAAATGTAATATTAACCACTATTTCTTACTTACCATTAATGAATGGCATATAGTAGATGATAAATACATATTTATAAATAAATTAATATAAAGGAAAGTACTAATTAACTTTTAATTAAGATAACTTAATAAATAATCTAAAGACATGGACTTTTTAAGGACAAAACCTAAAATAAATATAATATTTTTAAAAATAGTATTGCATTTTCAGAAAACAAATCAACTGCTGCTAATTAACACCTCTTTAATATATTTAACAAGCAATATTTCTGTGGTTCATAAAGTATTAAAATGTAAGAGAAAAGCTTGCTATCAATTTGAAGAAAAGTAATCCCAATATATTTGTTTTCTTAATTGACTTAGACTGGCCATTTCACTGAGTAAACCAGTTAATTTTGCAATACTATTAGATAGCTAAGCAAATCTTTTGTGGAACACTAACTGTTAAGAGAACAAAAAAGTATTGTATAATAATTTGGCATTGAATAATAATTAGCAGAATAGAAAAATAATTGTAATAAACTCTTTACTAGCAAACTAGCCTCTTAATTAAAGATTTACAAACAATTTATATATTCTAAATACACTTTCATGCTGTATATCATTCAGTGTCTCTTGAAATAGATCATACCATGTTTATTAATAAATGAAGGCCGAGTACTATTAATAGCCTTAAGCAAAAAAGTGAGATTTCTTTTCCAATAGCAATTAACCCCAAGTAATAGAAAGACTGCTGAAATGTCATTCAGAAAAAGAGGCAGACAGCGTTTCCAGAAAGAATAATAAACCTGAAGTCCAGAAATCCTCACTGCCACTTCAAGTTCAGATTGCAGATTCACACTCTGAGGTCCCCTGCATGACTCCAGAGAGAAAAGCAGGAGAGTCAAGAACAATTGAAAAGGGTGCAATGTTATCAATATAAATGAGATTAATGTTGAAAAGATCATCAACAGTTCAGAATGGTAAGGACTGAATTGTACTCAAGAAAGCGAAGGACAAAGTGACAAAAATAATGGCTATTTAGGAGGAAAAAAAGAGGCAATAGATTCAATCATCCAATATAAGTTTAATCTTAGACCTGAAACAAAAACATCAAAACATGACTATGTAAATCTTGAAGACGAAATTTGTAGAATCTTATAATACTTTTCCTAATGTTATCAAGAAAACACACACACACCAAAAAAGGCAATCAGCAAATGTTAAATATATTTTTCTTTTAGTTGCTCTTTAGAGTATTTATCCAAAATGAAAAAGTGTAATAACAGAGAAAGCAAACAATAAAATCTAATATTGAGAATTAAGCAATTATTGTTTCATTTTTACTGACATAACGAGACATCTTTTCTTATTCCTCTTCTGGGTCTGATTTGTGGGAAAAGAATTCCACTGCCAAATGCAGACTGCTGTCTAAATTTCACATGACTTCTAGTTCAGAAACAGTTCTCGTGTCTACGCAGCTTTTTCACGTGCCTTCAATTTATCATAAAGATGAACTGAATAAACTAAAGTACTCTTGAATATCTGTGCATAACACAGTTTCTAAGGTTTTCTGACAGGGAAGTTTGACCAAAAACCTATCAGTTCAGTAACCCATAATAGATTGGATGTTTTATTTTCAAGTTTTTTTATCAGTTTCCTGACAAAAAGCTCAGACAACAGTGAAAGTGACAATTTTTTGATTATATGATCAGAGCTGCTTTTCTTTTCATTTTACCTTCTGGCATTGTTGTCTCCTTGAGCTATATAGATGTGCTAGTGAAATATTAATAGAGTTATAATCCTCTAGCCTGGTGACAGCTAGTCATAAATTATCAGGCCATTATTAGCAAAGGCACTCTGGATCAACCCATGTCAAAAGATATGGAGTAGTGTTCAAGATGCTGGACAAAGAAGAGTATACGCAGAGCACCACAGAAAAGGATTTGTTTACTGCTCTTTTCACCAAGGGCATTTGAATAGCAATCAACCTGTTTATGATGATAATTGCTATGTAGAATTTATTATAGAGGAGATATCAAATGAATAAAGAATTATCTTTTCAAGTGCATTAAATATAGGTCAGCAAATTTACAGTGATAATTAATTAAATTATGATTAGCCAAGTAAAAGGTTGCTCAGTGATTATTCTAAAAAGGCAGGTTATAAAAACAGATAAAAGTTCATAAGTTTTATTCAATTATTCGATGGAAATAAAATCATTCAAAAAAGAAAAGCGGTACAAAAAAAAGTGCATATGAAATTCTTTTTTTTTTTTAATTTTTGCTGTTGAATTCATTGCCAGAAATCACTCCTTTGTTATTATATATTGACAAATTATAGTTGTATATATTTATGGGATACAGAGTGGATTGTGGTTTTTTAATACAATGTGGAATGATTAAATTAAGCTAATTAACATATATATCACCTTAAATATTTAACATTTTTGTGATGAGAACATTAGAAATTTACTCTCAGTGATACTGAAATGTACAGTACTCAATTATTATCTATATTCAGCATGCTGTGCTATTGATCTCAAGAAAAAAAGCAATCAAACTTATTTCTCCTATGTGAGGCTTTTTACCCACCATGTCCCCATGCCCCTAACCCTCCAGTCTCTGGTAACCACCAGTCAGTCTACTTTGCTTCTGAGTTCAATTGCTTTAGATTCCACATAAAAGTGAGAACATGTAGTATTTGCCTTTCAGTATTTGGCTTATTTCACTTAGCATAAGTTTGAGACTTGGAACCAACCTAAATGTCCAACAATGATAGAGTGGATTAAGAAAATGTGGCACATATACACCATGGAATACCATGCAGCCATAAAAAATGATGAGTTCATGTCCTTTATAGGGACATGGATGAAATTGGAAATCATCATTCTCAGTAAACTATCGCAAGAACAAAAAACCAAACACCGCATATTCTCACTCATAGGTGGGAATTGAACAATGAGATCACATGGACACAGGAAGGGGAACATCACACTCTGGGGACTGTTGTGGGGTGGGGGGAGAGGGGAGGGATAGCACTGGGAGATATAACTAATGCTAGGTGACAAGTTAGTGGGTGCAGCGCACCAGCATGGCACATGTATACATATGTAACTAACCTGCACAATGTGCACATGTACCCTAAAACTTAAAGTATAATAATAAAAGAAAAAAAAAAACTTAAAAAAAAAAAGAAATGGGAAAGGGACCTGAATAGATATTTCTCAACTGAAGACATACAAATGGCTAACAGATAAATGAAAACAATGTCCAACATTGGTAATCATTCAAGTGATATAAATTAAAACTACTATGCAATATGACCGCACACCTGTTAGAATGGCTATTATAAAAAAGACAAAAGAGAAGTGTTGGCAAGGATATAGAGAAAAGAGAACGCTTTATGCTGTTGGTGGGAATGTAAATTAGTACAACCCTTATGGAAAAAAAGTATGGAAGTTCCTCGAAAAATTAAAAGTAGAATTAACATAAGATCTAGCAATTCCACTTCTGGATAGTACCTGAATGATATGAAATCAGTATATGAAAGAAATATCTGTACTCCCTTGTTCAATGAAGTACTATTCACAATATCCAAGTTGTGGAATCAACCTAAATCTCTATCAAGGGATAAATGGATAAAGAAAATGTGATATGTGTATATGATAGAATACTGTTCAGCCTTAAAAAGATGAAATTTTTTCATTTGTGACAGCATGGACGACATGTTTGTGACAACATGGATAAAATTGGGCATATGAAATTCTTTACAAACACGTGAGAGAAAAATATGCATACATCTGAAATTAAGAAATAGTTTTAAAATATATTCTCAAAATGACTAATATAATTTATAAATAAAATTGGTCAATGACAGTAGTAATAAAATCCTATGAGCATTGAGTCTTCATAAGATTATATTTGAATTTTATCAATTCATACTTCATTGCCTTACATGTTTGTGTTATTTTTCTAAGTAGACATGAATCTACTTAGTAACAAAATTATGAAAATAATATAAAAATAAAAGATACCAAAAGATATTGTCTCTTTAAATATAAAACACCTATCAAAGTAATGTATAAACTGTGAAAAAAAATCGTAATTTTAATTCTCATTAGGAACAATGAATTTGTTAAATTTGTAAGCATTTGGATCTTCAAAAAGCTAAGTACCAAAGCTGCTGTGTGGATTAAAGAGTTTATTTTGTAATTATGATTACAATTATAATTACAATTATGGCTATTACTACTCTTTGCAAATATTCTCAGATTTTGATATTGATGTAAATTCTTTAACTTTAACTTGGCCAATAATGCCATTATATACTTTTCTTTCTGGATCAAGGTAATGATTGTGTTTTTTGGAGCTTCTAATTAATATTCTTGTAAATAAAAACCAAACTAAAATCTGGAAAATAAATGACAAGTTTAATAATAGTAATCAAAGGCAAATTTCTGTCAAGCATTTGTTAATTTATTGGTTCATTCAGCAAATAATTGTGAAAGCCATCTAAAAATTAGGTACTATCTTAATTACTGGGAATATCATGATGAAAAAGACAGACAAGGTCTTAGGGCACATGACTGAATGTTGGACTAAAATGGTAATGAAGTGTCCCAAATCGTGCAATTACAGAAAATAAGAGTGGAAATGTGATATGTACATCACTGATCTCTCACTGCATAGTGAAGTTGAGACTGATTATATGACCTTAAAAACTGTAAAAGCACAATGAAGTAATTGACATTATACACTTTCAAAAATAGAGCTATTTTTAATAGAATTACATAATCTTCATGTTGCAACAAATTCTGGAAAATGTTCTGGAAAGTCTCAGCAATAGCATCAAACAAGGAGAAGAAAGATCTTCAGAGCTCGAAGAAAAAGTTTTTGAATTAACCCAGTCCAACAAAGACAAAGAGAAAGAAAAAGAAAAAAATGAACAAAGCCTCCAAGAAGTTTGAGATTATGTCAAATGAACAAACCTAAGAATAATTGGCATTCCTGTGGAAGAAAAGAAATCTAAAAGTTTAGAAAACCTATTTTGGGGAATAATCAAGGAAAACTTCTCTGGCCTTGTTAGAGACCTAGACATCTAAATACAAGAAGCTCAAAGAAGACCTGGGAAATTCATCTTCAAAAGATGATCTCCTAGGCACATTATCATCAGGTTATCTAAAGTTAAGATGAAGGAAATAACCTTAAGAGCTGTGGGGCAAAAGTACCAGGTAACCTATAAAGGAATACCTATCAGATTAACAGCAGATTTCTCAGCAGAAACCTTACAAGCTAGAAACGACTGGGGCCCTATCTTCAGCCTTTTTAAACAAAACAATTATCAGCCAAGAATTTTGTATTCAGTGAAGCTAAGCTACATAAATAAAGGAAAGATACAGTCTTTTTCAGAGAAATGCTAAGAGAATTTGCCACTTCCAAGGCAGCACTACAAGAACTGCTAAAAGGAGCTCTAAATCTTGAAATAAATCCTGGAAACCCATCAAAACAGAACCTCTTTAAAGCATAAATCTCACAAGACCTATACAACAAAAATAAAATAAAAAAACAAGGTATACAGGCAACAAATAGCACAATAAATGTAATAATAGTACTTCACATCTCAATACTAATATAGAATGTAAATGACCTAAATGCTCCACTTAAAAGACACAGAATTGCAGAATGGATAAGAATTCACCAACCATCTGCTGCCTTCAAGAGACTCATCTAACACATAAGGACTCACATAAACTTTAAAGGTAAAGAGGTGGAAAAAGACATTCCATGCAAATGGACACCAAAAGTGAGCAGGAGTAGCTATTCTTATATCAGATAAAACAAACTTTAAAGCAACAGCAATTCAAAAAGACAAAGAGGAACACTAATGAGAAAAGGCCTTGTCCAACAGGAAAATATCACAATCCTAAATATTTATGCACCTAACACTGAACCTCCCAAATTTATAAAACAATTACACCTAGACCTAAGAAACGAGATAGACAGCAACACAATAATAGTGGAAGATTTCAATACTCCACTCATAGCACTAGGCAGGTCACCTAGACAGAAAGTCAACAGAGAAACAATGGCTTTAAACTATACCCTGGAATGAATAAACTTAACAAATATTTACAGAACATTCTACCCAACAAATGCAGAATATACGTTCTATTCATCAACCTATGGAACTTTCTCCAAGATAGACCATATGATAGGCCACAAAACAAGTCTCAATAAATTTAAGAAAATGGAAATTATATCAAACACTCTTTCAGATCACAGTGGAATAAAACTGGAAATCAACTCCAAAAGGGACCTTCAGAACCATGCAAATACATGGAAATTAAATAACCTGCTTCTATCATTGGGTGAACAATGAAATCACACTGAAACTTTAAAAACTCTTCAAACTGAACAAAAATACTGACACAACCTATCAAAACCTCTGGAATACAGCAAAGGTGGTCCAAAGAGGAAAGTTCAACGCCTTAAATACCTCCATCAAAAAGTCTGAATGAGCACGAATAGACAATCTAAGGTCACACCTGAAGAAACTAGAGAAACAAGAACAAACCAAACCCAAACCCAGCAGCAGAAAGAAAATAACAAAGATCAGAGCAGAACTAAATCAAATTGAAACAAACAAACAAACAAAATACAAAAGATAAATGACACAAAAAGCTGGTTCTTTGAAAAGATAAATAAAATTGACAGACAATTAGCAAAATTAACCAAAAATAGAAGAGAGAAATTCCAAATGAGCACAATTAGGAAGAAATGGGAGATATTGCAACTGACAACACAGAAATACAAAAGATTACTCCAGGCTACTATGAACACTTTATGCACATAAACTAGAAAACCTAGAGGAGATGAATAAATTCCTGGAAAGATACAACCTTTCTAGCTTAAATCAGGAAGAATTAGATAAGCTGAACAGACCAATAACAAGCAGCCAGATTGAAATGGTAATTTAAAAATTACCAACAACAAACAAAAAGTCCAGGACCAGACAATTTCGAAGCTGAATTCCACTAGACATTCAAAGAAGAATTGGTACCAATCCTATTGACATTATTCCACAGAATAGAGAAAAAGGGAATCCTCCCTAAATTATTCTATGAAGCCAGTATCACCATACTATGAGCAGCAGGAAAAGATATAACCAAAAAAGAAAACTACAGACTAATATCCCTGATGAATATAGATGCAGAAATCCTTAACAAAATGCTAGCTAACAAAATCCAACAACATATCAAAAAGATAATCCACCATGATCAAGTGGGTTTCATACCAGTGGTGCAGGGATGGATTAACACACACAAGTCAATAAATGTGATACACCACATAAACAGCATTAAAAACAAAAATCACATGGATCATCTCAATAGATGCAGAAAAAGCATTGGACAAAATCCAGTATTCCATTATGATTAAAACTCTCAGCAAAATCAGCATACAAGGGACATACCTCAATGTAATAAAACTATCTATGACAAACCCACAGCCAACATAATACTGAATTGGAAAAAAGTTGACAGCATTATCCTGAGAACTAGAAAAAGACTAGGATGCCCACTCTCACCACTCCTCTTCAACATAGTACTGGGAGTCCTAGACAAAGCAATCAGACAAGAGAAAGAAATAAAGAGCATCTAAATGAGTAAAGTTGAAGTCAAACTGTCCCTGTTTGCTGATGATGTGATTGTATACCTTGAAAACCCTAAAGACTCCTCCAAAAAGCTCCTAGAACTGGCAAAAGAATTCAGCAAAGTTTCTGGATGCAAAATTAATGTACACAAATCAGTAGCTCTTCTATACACCAACAGTGACCAAACTGAGAATCAAATCAAGAACTCAAATTCTTTTACGATAGCAGCAAAATAAATAAACAAATAAAATACTTAGGAATATACGTAACCAAGGATATGAAAGACCTCTGCAAGGAAAACTACAAAACACTACTGAAAGAAATCATAGACCATACAAACAAATAGAAACACATCCCATGCTCATGAATGGGTAGAATCAATATTGTGAAAATGACCATACTGCCAAAAGCAATCTTCAAATTCAATGCAATTCTTATCAAAATGTCACCATCATTCTTCACAAAACTAGAATAAAAATCCTAAAATTCATCTGGAACCAAAAAAGAACCCACATAGGCAAAGCAACAGTAAGCAAAATGAATAAATCTGGAGGCATCACATTACCTGATTTCAAACTATACTGTAAGGCCATAGTCACCAAAGCAGCATGGTACTGGTATGTAAATAGGCAAATAGACCAATGGAAGAGAATAGAGAATCTAGAAATAAACCCGAATACTTACAGCCAACTGATCTTTTTTGCTATTAGATAATAAATTTATTTATAAGGCAGGGATCATAAAAAGGCTTTGCTTTAAACACAACTGAAAAGAAATTTGAGGCAGTATGAAAACAAATTTTTGATGAAAAATCACTCAGAGTTTTTTTAATATGACTTAGAAGTTAAAGATTTGTGTGACATTGCTCCTCACGTTCCTGTCAGTTATTTCTTTCCAATTTGGGGATCATATTCTAGTTTCTCTTTCTACTTTAACAATTTTTACCTGATGCCTTTCTAGTTTAGATATTGATTCACAAGTAAAATCCATCATTTGCTCCATATTTTTAAAAATTTTCTAGTAGCAATTTGTTACAGTTGTAAATTTTATTTCAGTATTTGGATATATAGCACTTCACATGGTTCATAATTTAAAATAATTAAAACTTATTCATGGAGTATGATTAAAATATATCAACAGGTTTTCAAACATTGAACCATCTCAACTTTCTGGGACCAAATTCCACAAAATCATGATATATGATTATTTTAACACACTGCTCTATTCCATTTGCATGTAATTTATTTTAGGGATTTTTAATATATATTATGTGAGTGAGATTTTTATTATGGTGCAATATTTATAGTAACCATTTAGTACATTTATTTCTGTATTCTATGGAAATCAAGCTGTCATCTTCAGATTTTGTTTCATTTTGAATTTATTTAATGAGATATCACTTAGATATATTAAAAGTCACCATTTAAAGTGTTCAGTAAGTGATATTTTGTAAATACATGGTCTTATAATTACACTAACATTCATGATATAGAACATTTCAATATTACAAAAGTTCTTCAATCACAAATATCACGCCAAGGCACTCTAGCTTGGGTGATAGGAGGGAACTTTTCAAATAAATAAATAAAAGAAAGCAGAAAGCATTTGGGATAAAACAGAAAACAAACAACAAAAACAATGACATATACAAGGAAACCACAAGCTATTCATGCTTACTGGATGCTAACTTTTAAGCATGAATTAATTACAGGTGAATCTACAGAGGAAAGCAGGAGCTGCCCAGTAACAGGGTTTAGATGTCATGTTACAATGGTGGATGATTTTTGATGGTTTTCAGCAAAAAAATGATCATTCTGAAACTTCTCATATCTGCAACTTTCATGGAAATTCTCAAGAAACTTTATTCTATAGTTCTGAATCATTCTGTTTGTGGACAATTGTATATAATAACTGCATTTACATTCCAAAATGTATAACTCCTTATTTTACTAGTTTACCAAATTTTTTTATTTTTCACTTTTGCTTTTTGTATGTTAATTTGTTTCTCTATTGTACTGGAAGCCTATGCCTGCAACACCAAACTTTCTTCCAAGATAATACTACTTTCAAACCAGGAAAGTTTATAGCATTTCCATTTTATTATGTAACCATAGTGAACCATAATGAATCTTTCTATCTTTAATGTATAACTTAGCTTTCTAAATTGTAAATAAATAACCAGTATTCACATTGTTACATTTTTAAATAGTACATTGTTTATATGTGTGTGTATATATATATATATATATATATATATATATATATATATATAATGTGTGCATACAAACATACAGTATTCATTTTAGACTTTAGGAAATGAGCAATATAGCCAATTTTTATTAGATATTTTTCTTAAAAAATATACCTAAGAAAAACTGATAGAATAAGGGGAATTAATTAGATCAGAAAGGTGATGGTTTACAATAAATTTATAAGTAACATGAAAATGCCTCTTCTTATTCTTGTCAAAATTATCTATTATTTTTATTACCTCATTTGTAATAAAGAATTTGTTTTATGATTTTTTAATTTTTTTATTTTATTTATTTATTTTTTTTCAGACAGAGTCTTGCTCTGTCACCCAGACTGGAATGCAGTGGCAGGATCTCGGCTCACTGCAAGCTCCGCCTCCCGGGTTCACACCATTCTCCTGCCTCAGCCTCCCAAATAGCTGGGACTACAGGCGCCCGCCACCACACCCGGCTAATTTTTTGTATTTTTAGCAGAGACGGGGTTTCATCGTGTTAGCCAGGATGGTCTGGATCTCCTGACCTCATGATCCACCCGCCTCAGCCTCCCAAAGTGCTGGGATTACAGGCATGAGCCACCGCGCCCAGCTATACTTTATTTATTTATTTTTTCTCAGAGCCCTTGGCTTATCTTTAATTTGGACCTCATGCTATCTGTGCCTGTTTCACATGTGCTTGTATTCCACAACTTGGTTTGGTTAAAGATGTTTATGTATCACAGTTCTTTAAGCTCCTTGAGGTTTTTCATTTTCAAATTTGTCACAATTCTATTTCGCTATCTCTATATTAAAAGTTATTACAAACCTAACAACTCAGAAAAATAGCCATTCCAATATATATCACAGATTCTGTGGGTCATCAATTTGCACAGGGCTCAGCTAAGCAATTCTTCTGTTCCTTATGTCACAGAAAGAGATCACGTAGTGGCACTCAGCTAGTGGATGAGCTGGTCTGAACATCCAAGAGGACTTCACTCACATGACTGGAAATGAAAAGAAGGCTGAGCTTAGCTAGTCTGCTGACTAGCATGCTGTCTCAGGATAAACTGACATTATACATGGAAGTTGACTCTTTCCCGAGTGAGATACCAAGTAACCCAGGTGGAAACATTTATGAGAAGTCATCTTGCCTCAAACCTGCCATACTTAATTGGTTGAAGCAGTCACAAACCCTCTGAGTTTTAACAAAATACATCTAGATTTTAGAAATCAATGGAAAGCGTATGAGACTGCTTTGTAAAAAATAATACTGTTTTGACAAAAACGTATATGAAGTTTAGCAATCTTTCTCATTTCAGATTCTTCTTTCTATTAAAATTAAATATTTTATATTATATATAATATTAAATATAAAATATTAAATATTTTTTGTTTTCTATTATACTATTATTTCAATTATTGTGTTTTACGGCAATTTTATAAAATAATTTATAGAAATATTAAACTGTACTTTTGGGGCATATGGACATAAAGAGATATCTATAATTATGTTTCCCCAAACCAGAGGACATATTCCCTCTGATATTCCTAATCCATAGAAATTTTAAAAAACCAATATTTTTTGTCTATTTGTATGTATATTAGTAGACACACGGACATCCATTGTATGTGGTGCTAAAGGCATAAAAGGCAAAAAGTCATTCTCTTCCTCTGTGAACTTACATGTGACTTGTAAAAACAACTCTTAAATTCCCATCTGAAGAAAAGTAACCTCTATATCCAGGAAGGATTCATACTTAAGGAGAAGTAAGAGGGATGTTATAAGATCATTTTATGATCACTGAATAATTCCCACTGAAAAGACTTTTATGAAAACTGTTTTCTCCCTTTAAGCAACAGAATCTTTTATCAAAAAATTAGTGAAAAGTTAATATGGCAAAGATTGGAAGAAAAAAAATTACATTTTTATATTTACATTCATGCTGAAACATTTTATGGAAAAGATATTTTAGAGTTTCTGAGTGAGAGACTTGCTACAAAGAAAGAATAGTGTATAAATAGGAGAAGTGAAGAAGATATCAGACAACCTTTGCAAACTCTATTTTGCTTGGAGTCCATGTTGAAAAAGAAAACAGGTAGAGTTGCTAACTTTACGATTCAGACAAAAGTTACAAAAGAAGTTTTGGAAGGAGGAAATCAGTGTGAATCAAGCTGTCAGGGAAAAATAAGTCTTGTACTTACATAAACACCTTTCAGCATTGCCTTAAAAAATAAAAGAAAGGTCTAGGTGAGCAAAATTGTTTGATTTCCATAAAAAAGAAAATCCCTAGAAAATGTACATTAACCAAAACAATAGATAAGAACAATTAAAAATGTTTTTTCATGTTTATTCTGCAATAGTTTGTGTATTTCTTACAATTTTTAAAAAGCTGAAAAAAACAGTTATGACTGCATTTTCAGGATTGTCAGGGGAATTTTTTAGGCAGTACGTATTTTATTATTTTGATTAATAAACTAAATTATTCATTCTTCAACATATGTCATTTATTCTTAGAGAAAATAGCTGATACAAAATGTCAAGAAAGTGAATTCATTATATAATCATATATTTTATAGGCTTTTAAATATTAATCTTATTAATTTTTACCTCTAGATCAATTTCATTTCTGAAATATATTCATATAAAAATAATTGCTGAAAACACAGAATTCTAACTTTAATCTAGCTCCTGATTTTATGCAGCATATTAAATTGTATTCAGGTATTATTTCCCTTAATGTAAGGCAAATGTCAGAAGAATTTAATCAAAATTCTGGAATATATTTTGATGTTATATGATTGCACTTGATTTATTATTTTGTGGAAAGATTATAAAACAGTCACTTGTCATTTATTCATTTACCTATGATGTAATTTTCACTTTTTAAAATGAGATTAGTATTGAGCATTAATTACATTTGCATTTAGGAAAAATATGTGACTTTAAAATGTTCATACCCTCTGATCCATCAAATTTTCTTACTGAACTTATTCTAATACATGCACTCATTTGAAAGATTTTTTTCATGTATTATATGTAATAATGTGAAGCTTAACTCCAATAAACACTGAATAAAGTTGTACTATTTAAAATACTTAAATAATATTTAAAAGCCATGCGAAATCTCCAGAATATAAAGTTTAATTTAAAAAAAAACTACATATAATGATACCTCTTTTAAATAAACTTTATTTATATTTTCCACAAATATATAGCTAATGCTTTATGTTACATGATGCTTCCATGAGCCAAAGATCTCTGTCTCTGTGGAATTTACATTCTGGTTAGGAGGAAAAACATGAAAAAGTAGGGTAGGAAAGGAACACTGAAAAGGTTGCAGATTTAAGTAAGTGTGGTCAATGTAGTCTGCAATGAGATGATATTAAAGTAAAGCTTTGATGGAGGTGAGAGATTTAAGTAAGAGGTTTGCTAGGAAAAGAATTAGGGATAGAGGTAGTAGCTACAGTAAAGGCTTGCTTGCCTGGCCTGTTTGAAGAACACTCAATGAAGTTAATGTGCAGTTGAGAGACAAGAATATTAGTAGAACAAGATGAGTCAGGGAAGTTGCAGAGGACCACATAATATCACACTGATCCTGGGTGAGATGGATTTTACCCTGAGTAAGATGGACAATGATTTCAAAAGCTGGAACTGAGGACTGAGGTGATCTTATCTTTTGAAAGCATCAACTGGCTGCTCTTGAAAGTAAGAAAGATTAGAATCAGGGAGCAGAACTATGAGGCTACATCAGTAATCCAGGCAAAGGATGATGAAGGCTCCAAATAAAAGGGTAGCTAGGGTAGGAGTAGGGATGAGATAATGAGAAATGGCCTGTTTCTGTCAAAATTTTGGTTAAAGAACCAACAGGGTTTCCTGAGGAATCAGATGCAGGTATAAAAATAAGAGAGGAGGATTAAGGATGACTCCAAATTTTTCAAACTGAAAAAATTAAGTTATCATTAACAAAGATGGAGAAGACTGTGGAGCAAGTTTTGAAGGAAAGAAATTTTATTTTCAGATATGGAGTGTGAATGTCAGTTAAATATTGAAACAGAGACATGTAGATCAGGAGCAATGTCAGGGCTGGGGATATAACTTGCAGAGTTGTTGGCATATATGTGTTATTCAAAATCATGAGACTGAATGAAGTTACCCAGGGAAGGACTTGAGATAAAGAAGAGGATTTAGAATTTGGGGAAGATGAAGGACCAGCAAAGGAGGCTGAGAATGAGTAACATATAATTTAGATGAAAGAAATAATAAAATATAGTGTCTAAAAAGACACGAAAGAAAAAATATCAAGGAGGAGAAAGTGATAGGTGATGAGCTGTTTCAAAGCTGAGGCTAGGACAAGAAACCAGTAAAGTGGTTATTAGTGATCTTGAAGTAAGCGGTTTCACATACTCTATATACTTTCTAGAATCATAAGTGATAGATCCATTGCAATTTTGATTTTTTAAAGTGCATCCAATGTGTTATACTCAGCTTGTCAGAGTTTATTTCACAAAAAACCACCTAAAATTTAGTGACTTAAAGCAACAACTATATATGTAGCTCAAGTTTCTGTGGGTTGGCAACTTGGTCTGACTCAACTGGATGATTCTTCTACTTGTCTTGTTTGGCTCCACTCATGAGTCCACTGTCAGCTCCCAGGACAGCTGGGGTTGGCTAGTTGGAGCAGGTGGTAGCATTGCTCCACCTAAATAACTTATCTGTGTTCCACATGTTCTCTAATCCTCTAGTAGACTGCTCTGGGCTTAGTCACACATCATTACAGAGTCTCAAGAAGAAAGAAGGAAGGTCCAAGCCTTCTTGAGGCCTAGGTTCATAGCACACGTAACCATATTAGTCCAATGCCAAACTAAATTCAAGGGATGTAATTTGAGAAACGGTGGCAAATTTAATATTGGATACATTGAAATTTAAGATTCTTGGAGACTTAAGTAGATGTTTCCGGGATATAATTTGATATTTATGTTAATACAAACATCAAGGCTATGATCTGGCTATGATCATATCTTCAACCTGGAGACACCATCTGAATCTGAGATCAGATGAATTTAATAAGAAGAATGTGGAAAGGGACAAAAATAATTAATAAACTTTGAAGTCTGCAGATATTTAAAGGGCTGGTTAAAAAAAGAGGAATAATAATGGCAACTCTAAAGCAGCAATTACAACTGTTGAACTTAAACTAAAGCATGAAGACCTTGTCACACATCACACAACTAGTAAATAGCTAAGTATGATTAAAACACAGATCTGTCTGCCTTCTAAACCCATGCTCTTTACAAACCACTGCTTTTGTGGGCTATGTTCTTTATAGGACAAAAAATGGAAAACAAACAAACAAAAAAATCTTTACTATAATTTGTATACACCAGAGAGCTTGCAATTTCATCTTCACTAATGGCCATTTAAAATACTGGTGAAAATAGTTTAGGGTACTAATTTTGCTCAGGACCATATACAAATAATTGAACTGCTAAGAATAACTCCTAAATAAAAGATTTTTGTTACTAATCACCCAGTTCTAAACAGTTCTAAAATTTTTGAACTTAGTATTAGATATTAATAGAATAGTTGCTTACTGTGTCCCCTCTTCTCATAGAATTTATACTTTGTCGAGAGCATGGGTATAAGTCTCTGGTATCTGAGTAAGAGTGTGTTGTAGATAAAAATGACTGCAAATAAGTAAAGGTTGAAGCTCTACTCTTTAATGAATGTATTTTTGAAGCCTTTACACATCTATACTCTGGTCAACAGAATAGTTGAATAAGTACCTTATTTTTCTTAATGCAATTTTGTTAAAACCATCTTTTCTTGATTCCCTACCAAACTGAATTCTACCAGTATTCCTCTTTGGGGAGTGATCCAGGTGATATGATGGCTGAGGTTGCTGATGTACATTAATTTAATTTTAATAGTTTTTATTGGCATTGTTTCCTAAAATGGTACTTTATCCCACAGTCAGTCTAAAACCGTGGCTCCTTTCTGATCATCTGCAGACTGACTATGGATAGATTACTCTCACCAAAGAGGTTTCCAAAACTGACTTCACATTGCAAATAATTGAGAAATTTGAAAATGCCCATACAATGGTCTTATTACTAAATGTTCTGTGATTGTGTAAATGCATCCATATTTTTTCAAAATTTCTCCACATGATCTTAAGGTGTAACCACAGTTGAACACCAACATCTTGCCTGATATACAGTAAAAGTTTGGATTGTGTTACTGTCTTATGTATTAAAATAAATATATGCTAACAAGTTACACAAAAATTTATTGTAAGTTGTCTCCGTAAATTTAGTAACAAAATGATTTAATTTCTCTAGAAAGGGCCTTTGAAAAAAGCCTTAAACAACTGTAAAGTATCAAAATTATTTTAATCAAGGGGGTACTTTGGAAGAATTAACCCTTCAAAGAGATTTTCAACTATTTTAAATAATGTCTTTAATTTTATTCTTAAAACTGATCACATATTACTAAAATGAAACTAAAGAATATTATCCCAGACTATGATCCCTTTTGTGAAATTTAAAGATCCAAACATTGCCTGAGGATGCTCGTGAGAAGTGCAATATTCAATAATCACTCCAATTCACCAAACAGCCTAGGCTTTGGTGAAGCAGAATGTTTGTTACTGTGTTTACCAACATTTTAAATTTTTATGTCAAACAAAATAGGGCAAACATTTTTTCACTATTTAAGTCTTAGAAACTGGATGGCTGACATGAAACCTGCCAGTCTGCCTGTCTGAAAGTATGTTAGGGAGGAGACTGTCTTAAGTGAAATCTCCAACAGTTTTCTTACCACATATATTTAAGAGAAAGGAAACATTGTCTAGCAAGTTTCCACATTCTTTATGGAATCCTTGAAGATTCGCCAAAAGCAGAATGAGTATAATCAGATGAAACTGGATATTCCAAACAACATTTAATTGTGTAAAAAAATTCTGATCTATCCTCTCAACATATTCTATAAAAAGTCAGAGGAGAAAAATATGTCTCAGAAATCATTTTCCTGATTGGGATTTAAACAGATTTCTCTAGGTTTTACCTGGCACATTGCATACATGATGTTATCAATGCACTAGAATGTAAGAGACTTTATCATTTTTATTGTGTCTATTTGATTCTTCTCTTTTATTTCTTTATTAGTCTGGCTAGCGGTCTATTTTGTTAAACTTTTCAAAAAACCAGCTCCTGTATTCATTGATTTTTTGAAGGGTTTATCGTGTCTCTATCTCCTTCAGTCCTACTCTGATCTTAGTTACTTCTTGTCTTCTGCTAGCTTTTGAATTTGTTTGCTCTTGCTTCGGTAGTTCTTTTAACTGTGATGTTAGGATGTGGATTTTAGATCTTTCCCACTTTCTCCTGTGGGCATTTAGTGCTATAAATCTCCCTCTAAATACTGCATTAGCTGTGTCCCAGAGATTCTGGTACATTGTGTCTTTGTTCTCATTGGTTTCAAAGAATGTATTTATTTCTGCCTTAAATAATACTTGTTTATTTACCCAGTAGTCATTCAGGAGCAGGTTGTTCAGTTTCCACGTAGTTGTGTGGTTTTGAGTGAGTTTCTTAATCCTGAAGTCTAATTTGATTGCACTGTCATCTGAGAGACTATTTGTTATGATTTCCATTCTTTTGCATTTGCTGAGGAGTTTTTTACTTCCACTTATGTGGTCAATTTTAGAATAAGTGTGATGTGGTCCTGGGAAGAATGTTCTGTTGATTTGGGGTGGAGAGTTCTGTAGATGTCTATTAGGTCCACTTGGTCCAGTGCTGAGTTCAAGTCCTGAATATCCTTGTTAATTTTCTGTCTTATCGATCTGTCTAATATTGACAGTGGGGATCCTATCACTGATCCCACAGAAATACAAATTACCATCAGAGAATACTAGAAACAACTCTATGCAAATAAACTAGAAAATCTAGAAGAAATGGATAAATTCTTGGACACATACACCCTCCCAAGTCTAAACCAGGAAGAAGTCAAATCCCTGAATAGGCCAATAACAGGCTCTGAAATTGAGGCAGTAATTAATAGCCTACCAACCAAAAAAAGCCCAGGACCAGATGGATTCACAGCTGAATTTTACCAGATGTACAAAGAGGAGCTGGTAACATTCCTTCTGAAACTATTCCAAACAATAGAAAAAGAGGGACTCCTCCCTAACTCATTTTATGAGGTCAGCATCATCTTGATATCAAAACCTGGCAGAGACACAACAAAAAAAGAAAATTTCAGGTCAATATCCCTGATGAACACCAATGCGAAAATCTCCAATAAAATACTGGCAAACTGAATCCAGCAGCACATCAAAAAGCTTATCCACCACAATCAAGTCAGCAGTATCCCTGGGATGCAACGCTCATTCAATATATGCAAATCGATAAATGTAATCCATCATATAAACAGAACCAGTGACAAAAACCACATGATTATCTCAGTAGATGCAGAAATGATCTTCGATAAAATTCAGCACCCCTTCATGGTAAAAACTCTCAATAAACTAGGTATTCACGGAACATATCTACAATCCTAAGAAAAAAGAACAAAGCTGGAGGCATCACACTACCTGACTTCAAACTCTACCTCAAGGCTACAGTAACCAAAACAGCATGGAACTGGTACCAAAACAGATATATAGAGCAATGGAACAGAACAGAAGCCTCAGAAATAACACCACACATCTACAACCATCTGATCTTTGACAAACCTGACAAAAGAAAGCAATGGGGAAAGGATTCTCTATTTAATAAATGGTGTTGGGAAAACTGGTTAGCCATATGCAGAAAACTGAAACTGGACTCCTTCCTTACACCTTATATAAAAATTAACTCAAGATGGATTAAAGACTTAAACATAAGACCTAAAACCATAAAAACCCTAGAAGAAAACCTAGGCAATACCATTCAGGACATAGGCATGGGCAAATACTCCATGACTAAAACACCAAAAGCAATGGCAATAAAAGCCAAAATAGACAAATGGGATCTAATTAAACTAAAGAGCTTCTGCACAGCAAAAGAAACTATCATCAGAGTGAACAGGCAACCTACAGAATGGGAGAAAATGTTTGCAATCTATCCATCTGACAAAGGGCTAATATCTAGGATCTACAAGGAACTTAAACAAATTTACAAGAAAAAAAAACCCCATCGAAAAGTGGGCAAAGGATATGAACAGACACTTCTCAAAAGAAAACATTTATGTGGCAAACAAACATATGAAAAAAAGGTCATCAGCACTGGTCATTAGAGAGATGCAAATCAAAACCACAATGAGATACCATCTCATGCCAGTTAGAATGGCTATCATTAAAAAGTCAGGAAACAACAGATGTTGGAAAGGATGTGGAGAAATAGGAATGCTTTTACACTGTTGGTGGGAGTGTAAATTAGTTCAACCATTGTGGAAGACAGTGTGTCGATTCCTCAAGGGTCTAGAACCAGAAATACCATTAGACCCAGCAATCCCATTACTGGGTATATACCTAAAGGATTATAAGTCATTCTACTATAAAGACACATGCACACATATGTTTATTGCAGCACTGTTCTCAATAGCAAAGACTTGGAACTGACCCAAATGCCCATCAGTGATAGACTGGATAAAGAAAATGTGGCATATATACACCATGGAATACTATGCAGCCATAAAAAGGGGGAGTTTATATCCTTTGCAGGGAAATGGATGAAGCTGGAAACCATCATTCTCGGTGAACTAACACAGGAACAGAAAACCAAACACCACATGCTCTCACTCGTGAGTTGAACAATGAGAACACATGGACAGGGAAGGGAAAACATCACACACCGGGACCTGTTGGGGGTGTGGGGCTAGGAGAAGATAGCATTAGGAGAAATACCTAATGTAGATGACGAGTTGATGGGTGCAGCAAACCACCATGACACGTGCATACCTATGTAATAAACCTCCACGTTCCTCACATGTATCCCAGAACTTACAGTAAAAAAATAAATAAATAAAAAAGAATGTAAGACTTGAGGTCAGAAATGAGGTTTCATTTTAATCTTTTTCTCACTGAAACTGGTCCATAGCAAATGCTAAATCCTTATTTGATTAGAAAATGAATAGAATCACAATACTTCTTGGCATCCACTATATTAATAACAGAAGAAGTGAATAAACACTTAAACATAGTATTTGCTGTTATTTTAAGTATAAGTGGCTCAGAAATAAAAAATAAAATTGGTTGACTTACTCCAATAGAGCATAATGACAAATGACAACAATCATGCTAGAATTCAACATCGACAACAAATAATTAAACATTGAATGAACCTGACAGAAGACCTTTAAAATGTTGCCAAACTCTATTTGGATAAACTGAATGTTTACAACAAGCCTAATGATTTCCTCAGTCTTAATTATAATTGTGGTTTAGTAAAAGACTCACATCCACTAAAAGTAATGAAGAATGTGTCAAATGTTTGAAGAGAAACGATTAACTACTGCCCAAATGGTTATTGTTTTGCAAATAATCAGAAACTGGGGAAAATGATGGTAATTGCAAGAGAAAGCCTATTGTCTCTGAAACAACACAGTGATTCTCTTAATCAGCAGCTCAGTGTGATGATCCTTAAGATTTATAACCTCCTGCTTCTTTCCATTACATTTTTATGCAATTTTTTATTGTTTTTAAAAATATTTTTAAATTTCAAAATGACAAAATTGAAAAAAGCAACTGTTATTTAAATATGTATGTCATTTTGCTTAAATGTATATACAACAATTAGAAGCAAAATTTGTTTCGAAGGAAGTTTGAGTTTTTGCATTTGAGTTTATTTATATTAAAATTAGTAGAAAATAGTATTAACCTTTAAAATTAGAAAATTATATAAACTGATAGACCTTCTGAATAGTGATTCTGGATTATTTGATTGTCTTCAACATATAATGCAAGCCTTGTAATATTTATATATATCTACACATAATTTAGCATTATTGAGTTCATAACACTTTGTCTCACATTAATTAGCATTTTCTGTAACTATTTCCATCTTTTAACATAGGGTACACATTACATAAATATGATATTACCGTTGGGCATTTGGTACATTTCTCACTATTTTATAGTAGCAGTGAGATCATAAAAGCTTTGCCTAAATTACTTTAAGATTATTTCTTGAAGTATAATCTTCTGGAAGAATATTCCTAAAGGGAAAATGAGGTTTTAAAGTGTATAGATAAGTTTGTTGGTTCCATCTTTTATTGTTCAATTTAATTCTAGAAAAAAAAAGTATAGCAAATTTAAAGTGCCATAAGAGACATATAAATTGCATGTACCCAGAAAGCCAATATGTTGTATTTACATTTTGTTTTGTTTTCTAGCTTAATAAAAATACCATTGTTTCTTAAAATTCTTTAATTTGTATTTTGTTAATTGCTATTGAGACTGTACTTTCCTCTATGAAATGCCATGTTGCCCATTATTCTTTATGTGATAAGGGACATAAATTGTGGATACTATTTGCCGACTTGGATTGTTACGTAGATTTGCTTCTAATTATATTCCTAAAGCTTATATTTTCTGGGTATTTATTGATTTGATCATTTAACAAGTCTGTAGAAGATTTTTGTTTTAGGAAAGTGGTATGATCCCAAGGATTTAACTTATCTATAAAATCCCCACTGCAAAAGAAATGTAAAAATAAGCTTTTTTGTATGTAGCAGTGCTTAATAAAGGGAAGAGAACTTTTAACAAGCAATTTTAAAAATCTTTGAGCTATTTCTGTAAAATGTGAAGTACATGGGATCCAGAAACTAGGAACATCCCATCTCAATGCCAGGAAACAAATAATCTACATTCCCAGCAGCTTCTCAAAACACAAAGCATAAGGCCAGGAAATGTGGATTCATCAAAACTTGGGAGGCAGGGTATAAAACTGCTTAAAAATTGTGCCAATTATACCATAAGAATCAAGTGAACTATAGTCACCACTGTATCATTATTTCTATTATCACAGATGAAGTGCAGTAAGGTAATAATAATGTTAATAAAGTATAGTATATATCTGCTACGGTTTCATATTGGTTCATCTCTGCCAAAACTCACGTTAAATTTAATTGCCCATATAATGATGAGATGTGGTGGGAACTTTAAGAGGCCTTTGGTTCATGAGGGATCTGCCCTTATGAAAGGATTAAAGCAATCTTTCAGGAGTGAGTGAGTTCTCTTGAGAAATGAAATTAATTACCATGAGAATGGATTGTTACAAAGCAATGCCACCCCTCCTCATGTTTTGTCTTTTTCATGAGTGCTTTCTTGCCCCTTCTGTTTTTCTACCATGCTATGAAGGATCTGTCAACAGAATTTGCCAGATGAAGCTACTCAATCTTGAACTTCTTAGCCTATAGATTCATGACCTAAACTAACCTCTTTCCTTAATGAATTACACAGCCTCAGGTATCCTGTTACAGCAACACCAAATGGATTAGGACAGTATCCATGCCATTTTCTTAAACAATTTTCATTTTTTTAAATGTTTGTCTTAAGTATTCTGTGAAGTGTATATCTCCTATAGTTAAGTATTCTCTTGTAGCAAAAACAGAACAGAAAAAAAATTTTAAACTTTGGAAAACAGTTGAATGTTTCTACATTTCTCTGTGAGTGATTGAAAAAACATGAAGGCAGAAAGTTATAAAAGTTATATAATACTTGAACAACACAATCAAACAAATTGGCCCAATTGATTTGTAGTGCTACAAACAGCAGCATACATATTTCTTTCTAGTACGTGTGGAACAATCACAAAGACCATATGCTCTGTCATTAAACATATCCCAGTAAACATAGAAGTTTTGATACCAAATAATTTTTTAATTCAATAGAAATTAAATCAGGCAGACATCTGGAAAATATCAAAATGTTTGAAAATTAAAAAAAACACCTTTTTTCCCAACTTTTCTATTAGATTCATGGGTACATGGATAAGTTTGTTACAAGGCTGTATTTCATGATGCTGAGGTTTGGGGTACTTTGGAACCCATTACCCAGGTGGTGAGCACAGTATCCATTTTATAGTATTCAACTCTTGCCCCCTTCTGTACTCCTCCTCTTACAGTCCTCAATGTCTATTATTTCCATCTTTATGTCTATAAAAACTTTTTGGCAAGGAATATTAGCAAAAACTTTTTGCTAATGGCAAAGTTTTGCCTTGGCAAAAACTTTTTGCTAATGGCAAAGTTTTGCCTTGGCAAAAACTTTTTGTCAAGGGATACTAGAAAATATTAGAAAAGTTTCATATTTGAGTCTGGTTCTGTTGATTGATTTGTCTGTTGACATTTTATTGTTGTTTTTTCCTTCCTTTTTTTCCATGTTTTGTAATTTTGTTGTTCTTGTGCTTCTTATCATTATTATTATTCTTGTCCAAAGCAAGACATCTTGTTTAGACTAAGGTCCATAGCACCCTTCTTATGCCTGGAAATGATGAGAACTCTTCTTTTGCTAGCTCTTCAGCATGCAGGGGATTGAGTCAATATACAGATTATCCTTGAATAACACAAGGATTGGCAGCACTGACCCTCTACAAAGTGAAAAATTCACATATAACTTTTGATTCCCTAAAATTTTAACTACCTAGCTAGTCTACTGTTAATCAGAAGCCTTACCAATCACATAAACAGTAGATTAACACATTTTTTGTATGTTAACTTTGTTATATACTATATTCTTAATAAAGTAAGCTAGAGTAGGAAAATGTTATTAAGAAAATCATATGGAAGAGAACATAGGTTTATTATTTCCTATTAATTAAGTGGAAGTGGATCATCAAAAAGGTCTTCATCCTTGTTGTCTTCACATTGAGTAGGCTGATGAGGAAGAGGAAAAAGAATTTGCCTCACTGTGTCAGGGTACGAAAAGCAGAAGAAAGTTCATGTATAAGTGGACTCACACAGTTCAAACCCCTTTTGTTCAAGAGTCAACTGTAGTTATGATTAGATCAAGGTTTGGCATTGTGGTTGTTATGGTAGCACCTTAGAAGACCACAGGCTTCAAAATCCATACATGTTACTTTGTCTTTAGGATGGGGACAGTAATGTGGTGAAGGGAAACAGACAGTCTCAGTTTTGTACAATATCTGGCATCTGTCCAAGATAAGCAATCAATTATATCCCATATCACCGTGGAGCCTCCTCTGTTTTCTTCTATTTTAGGTTATTGGATACCCTAAAAGCTCAGCTTTGTGATGGGTTCAAGAAAAGTTGTAATTTTGTAGGTCATTTAGCTATTTTCATGATTTTGTAACTTTGGGGAAAATGCCCTTTCCAGCTTCCTACATTTTTAACAGAACATTCACTGTTGTTTTAATTTGCATTTGTTCAGATGATATTTTTTTCAAGTTCTTTATCTGCCTTATGCAAATCTTCTTTTGTGACATGTCTATTAACATATGTTGTCTTTTTATTGATGTTTTATTGCATGTTCTGTGTATATTTCCCTTGTAAGATACATACTTTGCAAATGTTTCTCCCAGTCTGTGGCTTGCCATTTTGTTACTGAATTATTGTCTTATATCATGGGCTTCTTTGGTGTTCATTTAATAACCTGTAGCTGTAAATTTCTGTGTTTCATTACATTTGGGAAATTTCTTGGCAATTATTTATTTCATTACTTTTCTACACTACTTTCTAAATTATCCATATAATTCTCCATTTTACAACATCCAACACATTCTTGAATTTAAGCACATTTTATGTGGGTTTAATGTGAAGGTTTAAAGTGAATTTTATGGCAATTTGTGCATCCCTTGGATATCTGGGCTTTGTTTTCTCTCCTAAGATTTTTACTTAATAATCAAACCCAGGCTATACTTGACTCAGGAAAGGATGTATTTCATACATATGGACTTTGGTGCTTTCCTCAAATTTAGTGAGGATCACTGAACTGTAGTAACCTTCATCAGCCTATTCCATCTCTTCTCAGAGTCTCTAAAGGTTTTTAGTTTTTCTGTTCTCAACATGATTTTCTTGACTTCTGTCTCTTCTGCTAGACATTCACATTAGAGGAAATGCTCACAATTCTGTTGATATAGCTCATTTCACTGAAGAATTTTGGAATAGAGAAAGGAGCAGGAATTCAAGTCCTGATGCTGATCTCAATTAGCCTTCCTGTTTTTAAAGGTTTCTTATAAAATTAGTCATTTTTTGGGGGGGAGGTGCTGCTGCTGAAAATGTTTTCAACCACTTTTTCTTATATTTCATTAGGGGAGGAAGTCCCAGAGATTCAGGCTTACTCTGTCCAATTTTGCATAAAATCTACACTACTGATATTATTTTAAATGCCTTAGTGCATTTAGATATTTCCAATAAGCTTCTATCACTTTTGTAATTCAAAAACTGGATATGAAAAATTGTTTGTACACTTATAAGTATTGCATGTATAAGAAAAAGTAGCCCAGTTAACAATGAACTTTAAAAAATCATTCATAATTGCAAATGTGCAATTATATATGGAAAAATGTTAACCATAATTGTCATAAATTAAACACACAATCAAATTGTATATTAAACTTTACCTCTTAGATTACTTTAGATTACTAAAACAAAAAGTAATATCTGGCTTTGTCAAGGAAATAAAATGGAAATCAGCATATGCTTTTAGATAGGGTAAATTATTACATTCTTCTCTTATGGAAATTGTCTACAACTCTGAAAAATATATCTATTTACAAATGTATCTTAAAGTTAATTATGATAATAAAGATATGTACAAATATAGTAAGGCTATGCATATGAGCATGCACATGTACAAAAATCCTGTGTGCTGCAGTGTCATTTATAACAACATAAAAGCAAGAAACCACATAATGTAGAAATGTAAGTTGATAAATAATTATAAAAATATATTGAAATAGAATAATACAAAGACATTCAAATCATATTTGAGAAATACCATATTTACATGAAAATGATTTTATATATATAAAGAAACAAGCTACATAGTATGAGGTTTTTAATTAAAAGACCCATATATATTAAAAAAACAAACTTCTAGTGAATCAAACCTTAGCAATGTAAAGAGTAAAGAATATTAATAAAAGAAGATAATAGAAAACATATTTTGTATGCATTTATGTTTTGTGGGTATGTGTGCTTGTGTACTTTTCTAATTTTCAAGAACTCTTTATTAAATATGTATTACTTTAAAAGTAGAAAAATTTAATTATTTAAAAATATATTCTAAATTCAGAAAAAAAGAAGAGATTTACTATGTGTGGAATGTGGGGGAAAAGGCATAACCAGATAAAAAAATAGAGTTCAATTTTCTGAGAAAATATGGAGACATGATAGAAGCATTAGTCTTATGAATAATTGAAAAAACAGACAAGAAAATAGAAAGTTTTGAATAGAAGAAAATAGTCAATAGTGAAAAAGTACACAGAAAAGTTTAGAAAAAAGAACACTTAAATGCTCCTATTGTTTCTTAAATTGTGTTCTTAAAATGATGAAAGCAGTTTTAATACAATGGTGACATTGTCAAAGCTTTCATTTTTGTCAGAAGAGGTATTTCCTCCTTCCATTAAAGACCCACATTAATACCACATTAAATACCCACATTAGATACCCACATTCATTTGACTTAGAGCACCTCCTATGGGAAACATATGGTTCCCTGTCCTACTGATGTAGAGCTTCACCATACAATTTACTTTGGACACTGAAAGGTTGGCAGAGATAAAGCAGGTGCTTTAAAAGCCATTTTATATTCCCACCAAGCCTTTTTTTTTTTTTTAATGTTTTTTTTTTTATTATTATACTCTAAGTTTTAGGGTACATGTGCACATTGTGCAGGTTAGTTACACATGTATACATGTGCCATGCTGGTGCGCTGCACCCACTAACTCGTCATCTAGCATTAGGTATATCTCCCAATGCTATCCCTCCCCCCTCCCCCGACCCCACCACAGTCCCCAGAGTGTGATATTCCCCTTCCTGTGTCCATGTGATCTCATTGTTCAATTCCCACCTATGAGTGAGAATATGCGGTGTTTGGTTTTTTGTTCTTGCGATAGTTTACTGAGAATGATGGTTTCCAATTTCATCCATGTCCCTACAAAGGACATGAACTCATCATTTTTTATGGCTGCATAGTATTCCATGGTGTATATGTGCCACATTTTCTTAATCCAGTCTATCATTGTTGGACATTTGGGTTGGTTCCAAGTCTTTGCTATTGTGAATAGTGCCGCAATAAACATACGTGTGCATGTGTCTTTATAGCAGCATGATTTATAGTCCTTTGGGTATATACCCAGTAATGGGATGGCTGGGTCAAATGGTATTTCTAGTTCTAGATCCCTGAGGAATCGCCACACTGACTTCCACAATGGTTGAACTAGTTTACAGTCCCACCAACAGTGTAAAAGTGTTCCTATTTCTCCACATCCTCATGCTCATGGGTAGGAAGAATCAATATCGTGAAAATGGCCATACTGCCCAAGGTAATCTACAGATTCAATGCCATCCCCATCAAGCTACCAATGACTTTCTTCACAGAATTGGAAAAAACTACTTTAAAGTTCATATGGAACCAAAAAAGAGCCCGCATCACCAAGTCAATCCTAAGCCAAAAGAACAAAGCTGGAGGCATCACACTACCTGACTTCAAACTATACTACAAGGCTACAGTAACCAAAACAGCATGGTACTGGTACCAAAACAGAGATATAGATCAATGGAACAGAACAGAGCCCTCAGAAATAATGCCGCATATCTACAACTATCTGATCTTTGACAAACCTGAGAAAAACAAGCAATGGGGAAAGGATTCCCTATTTAATAAACGGTGCTGGGAAAACTGGCTAGCCATATGGAGAAAGCTGAAACTGGATCCCTTCCTTACACCTTATACAAAAATGAATTCAAGATGGATTAAAGATTTAAACGTTAGACCTAAAACCATAAAAACCCTAGAAGAAAACCTAGGCATTACCATTCAGGACATAGGCGTGGGCAAGGACTTCATGTCCAAAACACCAAAAGCAATGGCAACAAAAGCCAAAATTGACAAATGGGATCTAATTAAACTAAAGAGCTTCTGCACAGCAAAAGAAACTACCGTCAGAGTGAACAGGCAACCTACAACATGGGAGAAAATTTTCGCAACCTACTCATCTGACAAAGGGCTAATATCCAGAATCTACAATGAACTCAAACAAATTTACAAGAAAAAAACAAACAACCCCATCAAAAAGTGGGCGAAGGACATGAACAGACACTTCTCAAAAGAAGACATTTATGCAGCCAAAAAACACATGAAGAAATGCTCATCATCACTGGCCATCAGAGAAATGCAAATCAAAACCACTATGAGATATCATCTCACACCAGTTAGAATGGCAATCATTAAAAAACCCACCAAGCCTTTTGCACTTTCCTTTTGCCAGGAGAATAGCACATCCTAACATGAAGATACTCCTTCAGATCTGATCCTGAAAAGAAAAATAACAATAATAATTTCAAAAAGGGAGTAGGAGCCAATTGCTAACTCTCCAACTTAAGAAACGGAAATAGAAGAACAAGTTAGATCTGGAAAAAATAGAAGCATACAATTAATGATAAAAAGAAAAGTTAATAAAAAAAAGCATAGGAAACAAAGAAAATCAGTGGAATAAAAATATCTTACTTTGGAAGAATCAGGCCAGGTGCAGTGGCTCACACCTGTAATCCCAGCACGCTGGGAGGCTGTTGCCAGTGGATCATGAGGTCAGGAGTTTGAGACCAGCCTGGCCAACATGGTGAAACCCCATCTCTACTAAAAATACAAAAATTAGCTGGGTGTGATGGCATGCACCTGTAGTCCCAGCTACTCAGGAGGCTGAGGTGGGAGAATCGTTTGAACCCGGAAGGCAGAGGTTGCAGTGAGCTGAGACCACACCACTGCACTCCTGCACTCCAGCCTGGGTGACAGAGTGCAACTCCATCTCAAAAAAAAAAAAAAAAAAAGAATCAATAGAAGTTATAAACCTCCAGCCAATCAACCAATGAACAATGAATAAGTAAGTAATAAAAGAAACAAATGAACAATAACAGGAATGGAAGAAGAGAACACATTAGAGAGCCTACAAAGATTTTTTGAATTTTATATTTCTCCTTGGGTCAGTGTTATAATCTGTGTCATTCAAAGAATTTGTCCATATTATCTAAGTTGTAATATTTATTAGCATTGTTTTACTATTGTATTATTCTTTTAACATGAGTAGAATTTGTAGGTATATTTCTATCCTTGTTCTCAATATATACTTTAATAATTCTTTTATTCTTGGTAAATCCAGCTTCAGATTTATCAATCTAAGTAATATTTTTCAAGAACCAGCCAACTTCCAGATCCACTGATTTTTCTCATTCTCTAAATCCTAGTTCACGAGTATATACTCTTAACTTTATTATTTCCTTCCTCTGCTCTGAGAAAGGCAGTCTCTAAAATTGTTCTCAATTTTCTCTGCACCCTGATATCCATACCCTTGGTAATCCTATTGTATTAATCTGTGTTCATGCTGCTAATAAAGATATACTCAAGACTGGGTAATTTTTTTTAAAAAGGGGGTTTAATGAACTCACAGTAGCACGTGGCTGGGGAGGCCTTACAATCATGGTGGAAGGTGAAAGCCACCTCTTACAGCAGCAGACAAGAGAGAATGAGAGCCAAGCAAAAGGGGTTTCCCCTTGTCAAACCATCAGCCCTTGTAAGACTTATTCACTACCATGAGAACAGTACAGGGGAAATCACTTTCACGATTCATTTATCTCCTACTGGGTCCCTCCCACAACACATGGGAATTATGGGATCTACAATTCAAGATGAGATTTGGGTGGGGACAGAGCCAAACCATATCATTCTGCCTCTGGCCCCTCCCAAATCTTATGTCTTCACATGTCAAAACCAAACATGCCTTTCCAACAGTTCCCCAAAGTCTTAACTCATTTCAGCATTAACTCAAAAGTCCACAGTCCAAAGTCTCATCTGAGACAAGCCAAGAGCCTTCCACCTATGACCCTGTAAAATCAAAAGCAAGTTATTTACTTCCCAGATACAATGAGGGTAAGGGCATGAGGTAAATACAGCCATTTCAAATGCGAGTAATTGGCCAAAGTGAAGGGGCTAAAGCCCCATGCAAGTCCGAAATCCAGCAGGGCAGTCAAATCTTAAAGCTCCAAAATGATCTCCTTTGACTCCATTTCTCACATCCAGGTCACTCTGATGCAAGAAATGGGTTCCCATGGTCTTAGGAAGGTCTGCCCCTGTAGCTTTGCAGGGCACAGCCTCCCCACTGGCTGGTTTCAAAGGCTGGTGTTGAGTGTCTGTGGCTTTTCCAGGTGCACGCTTCAAGCTGTCAGGGGATCTACCATTATGGATTCTGGAGAATGGTGTCCCTCTTCTCACAGCTCCACTAGGCAGTGCCCCAGCAGGGACTTTGTGTGGGGCCTTCAACCCCACATTTCCCTTACACACTGCCCTAGCAGAGGTTCTCTATGAGGGCCCACCACTGCAGAAAACTTCTGCCTGGACATCCAGACATTTCCATACATCCTCTAAAATCTAGGCAGTGGTTTTCACATCTCAGTTCTTCTCGGCACCCACAGGCTCAACAGCATGTGGAAGCTGCCAAAGCTTCAGGCTTGCACCCTCTGAAGCGATAGTCTGAGCTGTACCTTGGCCCCTTGTAACCATGACTAGAGTGGTTGGGACGCCAGTCACCTAGTCCCTAGGCTGCACACAGAAGGAGGGCCCTAGACCCAGCCCAGGAAACCATTTTTCCCTCCTAAGCCTCTGGGCTTGTGATGGGAAGGGCTGTTGCAAACGTCTCTGACAGGCTTTGGAGGACATTTTTCCTATTGTCTTGGTAATTAACATTTGGCTTCTTGTTACTTATGCAAATTTCTGCACCCAGCTTGAATTTCTCCTCAGAAAACGGGTTTTTCTTTTCTATCACATTGTTAGGCTGCAAATTTTCCAAACTGTTATGCTCTGTTTCCCTTTTATGCTCTCTCCCTCAAGTTCAAAATTCCACATACATCTAGGGCAGGTGCAAAATGCTGCCAGTCTCTTTGCTAAAGCATAGCAAGAGTCACCTTTACTTCAGTTCCCAACAAATTTCTCATCTCCATCTGAGGCCACCTCAGCCTAGATTTCATTGTCCATATCATTATCAACATTTTGGTCAAAGCCATTCACCAAGTCTCTAGGAAGTTCCATATTTTCCCACATTTTCCTGTCTTCTTCTGAGCCCTCCAAACTGTTCCAACTTCTGCCTGTTACCCAGTTCCAAAATTGCTTATACATTTTTGGGCATCTTTACAGTGTCACCCTACTCTGCCAGTACAAATTTACTGTATTAGTCCATTTTCATGCTGCTGATAAAGACATACCCAAGATTGGATATTTTATGAAGAAAAACAGGTTTAATGGTCTCACAGTTCTATGTGGCTGAGGAGTCCTCAGAATTACAGTGGAAGGCCAAAGGCACATCTTACGTGGTGGTAGACAAGAGAGAATGAGAGTCAAGCAAAAGGGGAAACCCCTTATCAAACCATCAGATCTCATGAGACTTACTCACTACCATAGAACAGTGCATGGGAAACCACCCCCATGATTCAATTTTCTCCCACCGGGTCCCTACCTGCCACGTGGGAATTATGGGAGCTACAATTCAAGATGAGATTTGGGCACAGCCAAATCATATCACCTATTATCTTGATTTTGTACTGTAGCCATTGATATACTTCTAATGGAACAGGACAAAAGTAATGGCATATCACTTTAGAAGAAATAAGATCAGTAAGAGCCTCTAGCATTTGTCCTGCTAAAATATGTGGATGCTTTCTTGCTCTCTCCCTCACCTTCTCCCACTTCTCTCCTCCCTCTTCTCTCCCTCCCATATCTCTAACTGTCTCAACCAGTGAGAAATAAAAGCTTTCAGTCCAACAAAAGACGAGGAACCAAATCCTGACAACAGCCACACGAGTGAGCTTCCCATGTTGAGGCTTCAGGTGAGACCCAGACCCTTCTAACACTCTCATTGAGACATTGTTCAAGGCCGTGAGTCAGAGGTATCCATCTAAATAACATCCAGAATCCTGACTCATAGAAATTTAGAAAGTAAATTTGTGGTATTTTAAGCCACTATATTTTGAGGCATTTTTAAAGGAGCAGTAAGTAACTAATACAAATTTTGATGCCTAGATGAATACCTAAAGATACCTAAAACATGTGTGATGGAATTCAGCTTCCAGTTTCTGTTGTGAGATATAGAGAGTTGTAAAGAGCATCACTCCCCTGTTTGCAATGAGAAAAGCATTTGTATATAGTGCAAAATAACAACTTTTCTTGATCCCATCAAAGTGCTGAGGTCCAGGGCAAACAATTACCAAATATCAGGATAGAGATAGATGCCTGTATGGAGAAGCCAGACCTAAGCATTTGACTGCCTTGGAGAAATGTCAATGAATGTAATATTTATGACATTGGCACTAAGAAGATTCAGCTAGTTATTAATAACAAATTCCTAAAAATCAAGTAGGGACTAGTGTGAGAGTATGAAGTCCCCATAGGTGGCAGACATATGGGATTTATACCCCCTAGTAGACTTTTCTTCCATGAACTTTACCAGACTACCACAGGTAAGACACATACAAATCTTGAGAAAGTTTCCTAGTGATGCTAGCTGTGGGAGGGGAAGAGCAGATACTTCTCAAACTCTACCTAGAACTGTCTCCTTTGTTTCTGGTATTAAACACAGCCTTATTCTGTAGGTGGAAAGACAACACTGTACCCTAATAACACAGCAGAACCCCATTTCCGCTGGGAGTGAAATGGTATCTCCCGCATGCTGCACACGGAAGCTCCACGTAGGACAAAGTTCACTGTAGTTGAGGAAGAGAAACAGGAAAAAGAAATTCTTAGGGCTGTAGCAGAAATAAGTGCTAGGCCCAGCAATATACCTGGATGAGAGGTAGAAAGATTTGTAAAGGACACCATCCCAAGACACACACACTCACACTACCTGCTTAAGAGTGAGACTTAATCAGAAAGTCAGAGAATATCAACAGTCTTCCCCTACAACCATGCTAAATAAGGATAAGGTAAACATTAACGGTGGAATGCAACTTTTATGCAATGAAAAGCATAAAGCCAAGCAGGCACTGGACGTTAAGAAAAATTCTCTGCAAATTTTGCTCCACCATAAAAAAAGACATTACTAGAAGGATTTAAAGCTTCTGGTGCACTGAGAGTAATTATAGCAACAACAAACATCAAACTCAACCCAACCAAGTCAACACAAACTACTACAATAAAGGTCTAGCAAAAGGAAAGGTGTGCTATCTTCAAGCATTAACATTATTTCCCTCCTTTTCTTTTTTCTTTTCTTTTTTTTTTTTTTTTTTCTGAGACAGTTTTGCTCTTGTCACCCAGGCTGGAATGCGGTGGCACGATCTCAGCTCACTGCAACTTTAGCCTCCCGGGTTCAAGCCATTCTACTGCCTCAGCCTCCCGAGTAGCTGGGATTACAGGTGCCCGCCACCAGACCCGGCTAATTTTTGCGTTTTTGGTAGAGACAGGGTTTCACCATGTTGTCCAGGCTGGTCTCGAATTCCTGACCTCAGGTGATCCACCCGCCTAGGCCTCCCAAAGTGCTGGGATTACAGGCGTGAGCCACTGCGCCCGGCCCTTCCTCCTTTTCTTTCTGCTGCCCTATACAAGTCTAGTTAATAAGAATAATAATAATGTATCTTTCTTCTTCTCTGATGGCTCTAAAGATTTTATCTTTTTAACTAGTTTTCAGCAATTTGATTATAATATCTGTATAATGTGTGTTGGTGTGGCTTTCATTACATTCATTATTTTGGGATATCACTGAGGTTCTTGAATCTGTAGCTTAAAGTTTTCTTCAAATTTGGAAATATTTCAGCTATTATATTCTTGGATATCTCTTCTGTACCTCCTCTTTTCTTGGAATTCAATAACATTAATCCTATACACTTTGATATATTCCAACAAGTCTCTAAGTCCTTGCAAATTTCTTTTTCATTTTCTTTTCTCTCCATGTTTCAGTTCGGATGATTTATATTGACATGCCTTTATGATCCTTTCTTACACTATCTTCTATCTTCTGACAAACAATACAATGTGTTTTCATTTCAGATTGTTTCAACTATCATTCCCATTTAATTCTCTTCAAATTTTTCATTTCCTTTTTTCTTACATTCTCATTTCCTTTAATCTTTGAGCACATTTTCAATAGAGGTTTTAAAGCTATTTTATACCAATTTTATCTGTTTTTTTCTATGATTTATGTTTCTCTTATCTTTGAGTCACATTTTCCTGTTTATTATTATGTCTAGTACTTTTTATTTGATATTGAACATAGGTATATTACATTATAAACTGTTTGAATTTTGTTGTCTTATTTTAATGATTGTAGAGTATATATTGTCAGGCATTTAAATGGCTTGCAGATCAATTTGATCCACTAGAGCCTCATTTTTCAGTGTAGTTAGTGCATAAGCTAGAGTTTGCTCTAGGACTACTAAGGTACAATAGCACTTTCAAAGTCTATCCTAACTAAATTAATGTTGGTCAACAATGTCTCTTCATTCTGCTAATTTGGAACTCACACAGTCCTCAGCCCTGTGTAAATCCTGGAAACATTTCTAGCTTATAGCTCTTCAGTTTTTTGTTTGTTTGTTTGTTTGATTGATTGGTTGGTTGGTTGGTTGGTTGTTGCTTTTCTCCCCACTATAGGTTTATTTTTGCCTGGCCTTGGGCAATTTCACCACATACATTTTCAAGTGATTGTTAACCCAAACACTCAGGTAACCCTTTATGAATTTACAGAGCTCTTTATCTGTGTAGCTTCCTCCTCTCTTTTTTCCCAAGAATTCTATTTGGCTCACCCACCCAGATTTTCAAACTCAATCTCCTTTAGTTAGTGATACAGCGGGGTTTTTTGCTTGTATTACCCTTTCTGGCCAATCCGGAAAGTGTCTTAAGGGGAAATATGAGAATAACTGATGCCAACTGAGTACTTCTCTTGGGAAATAAATATAGCCCTATGCTCTTCCATGTTTGATATCTGCAAACAGTATTGTCCAATAGTTATTAATCTTCAGAGGGTATATACAGTACCAGCTATATCACTGGATGCAGAAGTTTCTCTTGTGAATGTTTAATTTCTATGTTAGTTTCCATTTCTAAATATTCAATTTTTTAAAAAAATCTACTGTTATTTTTTTCTCTATAAACACTTTCAAAGTTTACTTTCATTTTTTCTTCAAATACACTGATTCATGTTAGTTTTTAAGTGTTGGAGCTAATACCAACATAAGACATTTTGTGAATTGATGAATTGCCTATCATATCTGCTTTTTTGTGTTTATGGGGCCTTAAAATCATTGCAAAAGTAGTGATTTCTTTTTTCCTTTTTTTTTTTTTTTTTTTTTTTGAGACGGCGTCTGGCTCTGTCGCCCAGGCTGGAGTGCAGTGGCGCGATCTCGGCTCACTGCAAGCTCCGCCTCCCGGGTTCACGCCATTCTCCTGCCTCAGCCTCTGGAGTAGCTGGGACTACAGGCGCCCGCCACCGCGCCAGGCTAATTTTTTTGTATTTTTAGTAGAGACGGGGTTTCACCGTGTTAGCCAGGATGGTCTCGATCTCCTGACCTCGTGATCCGCCCGCCTCGGCCTCCCAAAGTGCTGGGGAAAAGTAGTGATTTCTAACTGTGTGTTGCTCATTTTACTCAGAGCCTAATTTCTGGGAATTTCCAAGGTCTAGGATACAGGTGCAATTCTCCAGATAGGATTTTTGTCTTTGTTGCCAAAATGAACATAGGGGAGCTATTGGCCCAGGACCACTTTAAATTAAAATCAAGGTTTCAGGTTTTATTGGCCAAAAGCTAATATGAATTATATGTAAAAAAAATCTATGGGAAGGCCATCTCAGTTATAATTCCTCAGGGACCTTTATTAACTCCTGCATAACTCAGCACCAAGGTAATTTCTTTGATTAACCTTGCATGTATGTAGGAAGGTCAGATTTATATCTGGATTACGTGACACACTAAATTGTATGTGGTTTGTTTTTTTCTTCATATATCCCTTCAAGTCATATGAACATAGACTTAATTTCCCCAGATTTTGCAAATATTTTCAGGGTTAAAACTACTTCAACTCTGAATTCTTCAGCAGTTCCCTGACCTCACTGACATTTTTGCCTGGTAGTAAATTATCAAATTGTATTAAAAGACTTTTCAATATTTTAAAATACATCTTGCCCACCTTCCAAAGTTTCTTGTCTGAGAAAAGTTAGTGTGATATTTTAGCCAATTAATATGTACTAAATGGAAGTCCTTCCTAATTCCCTAAAGATATATTCAGAAAATATAACTTATGACATAGATAAAAAAAATTAAATTTCAAACCCTGAGGAAGCAGGAGAGCTGCTTCCTTTTGATATAGATGTATAACAATATACAGATAAAAAGAAAATATTAACCAGGTTTCTAATAAAATTTAGAGCGTGACATCAGTTAGGAATAGGGAACAATTTAAAAAGTAGAAAGACAAGTAGAAGAAAAACCCAGTTATCACCCTTGAAGAACTAATGAAGACTTTTAAGAGAAGATAAGACTTCTGCAGGAGATATGAATTTCTTGATGAATATCATATTTAGGTAGTATAATATGAAAAAATATTTAAAGAGAAAATATTCAAGTAACCAGTAAATAAAAAGTAATTTCTAAAGGAGAGATGGAGCTGAAGCAAATGAATTAACGAAATTGTCAAAATTACTAATACATTGGCCTTAAAATTGAAATTGTATATTATGTTTATAAAAATAGTTGGATATTAAATTATAACTATAAATGACATGGTGAAATTGTTAAACTTAAAGAAAAAATATAAACATTTAAGAAAACAATTTAGTCTATTGATAACTAAACCAAAATCCAACTGTTTTCATCCTTGTCTAAAAATCCCAAATATATATAAGAATATTAAATACCTGGAATGTTTAAGAATGTAAAGATAAATGTTAACATTTGAAATTATAACACTTATATAGTATTTGATATATATATATATACATATATTTGCACTTTGTACATACATAATTACACTTTGTAAATATATATATTAACAGTTATTCTGTTGCTGGTCTGTGAAAACAAAAGATAGTAAGACATCTTGAGATTAGCATGAACTTAAGAAACATGTATCTTTTATGGATAAATTGCTTGAAGACTTATGCAAAAACAATAAAAGCAAAATCCAATTTTCACCAAATAATTGTGACCCTAAATATTTTGAGATGAACTCCCAAATTAATTAGCTTATGATCTTTGAATGTATTGAAGAATTTTAAATCAATGAAAAAGACAAAGAATTGGTTAATAAAGTATTATATTTATAACCACAATCTAGATTAACAAAAATTGGAGGACAGATTTAAAGAATAGAAGAATGTCCAAACACATCTATTTTTAAAATGGCATTTTAAGAAATAATTTACTTTCATTGTGATATTTGCATTTTTAAACTTTAAGGAAAAATTGAAATACCTAACAGCATTTACATTTAGAGTCTAATCATGCAGAAAATAATTGAGAACAAAAAATAGACATTTACAACAAAATGCAGATCTAAATATAAACTGCAAGTATGCCTAAAAGCATAATAGAAGAGTATAGAAACAATAAACAACATAAGATATATGTCCATATATGGAATAATAAATCTTTCTTTTAAAAGTTACTTTACCACATAGTGTACAATAACAACTTCCAGTTCTATTTAAAAAAAAATCCAAACGGAAAAAAATTTCAAAGGCAGTAAGTAAGATGACAAGCAAAGATTTATTAAACAAATGCCAAAAGCAAATAGGTGTGGTAAAATTAGTATGAGACAGAATAGAGAAGAAGGTAAAGAGGATGTACTGCGATGAAAAAGGTAGTTTTATATTGATTAAAAGATACAAATCCACAAAAGCCTGCAACAATCATGAACCTTTTGCGACAAATTAACATTTCATGAAAAATGTATAAAGCAAAACCCATTAGAAATGAAAAGAAAAATTGATAAAAACACAATTGTCATCAGAAAGTTTAGCGCACCATTACAGATCCATGGCAGTTCAAGTAATTCTAAAGTATGAGCATATAATTTTAGAACAATATAATAAATAATGTTAGAATAATTTCGAATGTTTTCTTCTCAACCAGAGCCTTCTGAGGAGAGTTTGTTTTGTAACCGTCATACTAAACATGGAAAAGCAACACAGAAGTAAAGCTTCCATGTGACTACCTGTAGATGTGTTTTCCTCCATCTATTTTGTCCTCAGCAGGATGAGTAAAATGACTAATCCTGGGAAGGTATATTGTAGTAGAAATAGCACAAGGTCCTGCTCAGTTCACAATTCCCTCTTCTTCAGAACCAGCTGGAAATGGCAAGCCCATCACTTGCTTAGACATTGCTCCTTACCTGTCTCCTAACAATAGCTGCCTTAGTCCTGGGATTAAAATTAAAAAAAAAAAAAAAAAAAAAAAGTTCCGCTCACTTCCATTGGTAACAAATGTGAAGCCAGATGAACTGGCTCCTACATGTCCCCAGCCTTCATTGGTTTAGTGAAGCAACTCAGTCATCTTCAAACAACTTTCCATTTGTGAATCAATATAGGAAATGTTGTACAATTGTCCTTGGCATAGGCTCCCAAAATCCTGGTTTCATATTCAAGTTATACTATTTAATAGTTGTGTACATGTGCACATGCACATACACATACACCATTATACATTACACGTGATCCTCTTGAAATTTGATCAAAATTGCTAGTCATGTTAATTTCCCTCATCTTTAAAATCATTAAGCCAGTGAATATAATTTAATGCTTCTGTAAATTTTCTTCAACTTGGTTACTGCATCTGTTCTTTAGGAAATTTGAATTAAACCATAAGTGAAGTGAATGTGTGTGTGTGTGTGCATGCACACACATGCACGGCGTTTACCACTTGGTGGTTATTAAGTTTTGAGTGGAATGAAATTTGAAAATTCGTTTTATTTAAGTTAGGCTGGCCAGGCATGGTGGTTCATGCCTGTAGTTCCAGCGCTTTGGGAGGCTGAGGAGGAAGGATCACTTGAGCTAGGGAGTTCAAGACTGGCCTGGGCAACAGAGAGACCCCCGTCTCCACAAAAAATACAAAAAATTATCCAGCCATCATGTCGTGTGCCTGTAGTCCCAGCTACTCAGGAGGCTGAGATGGGAGGAGCACTTGAACCTGGGGATGTTGAGGCTGCAATGAGCCGTGATCACACCACTGCACTCAGCCTGGGCAACAGAGTGAGACCCTATATCAGATAAATAAATAAATAAGTAAATAAGTAAATAAATAATCACACGGATCCTACTTTCCGTTCCAGGAGTGTAAGTGAACTGAACACAATCAATATTACTTAAATTTTTTACAATAAAAATGTATTTCCTATTTAGACAAATGGGCAAGTTTCAGTAATTCTGTCTATTCTTTCCATGGAATACTATCTTTCTTTGGCATTCGTGATAAGACCCATTGTTTTCCACTCTCCTACTGCCTGCGTCTAAAGTGCTTATAACCTCAGGGCTTTGTCACAGGCCCGTTTCTTTTCACTTTACATGAGAAATTTCCTTCAATTCCGTGTATTCAGCTTTCAACAATATGCTTATATATTCCACATATCTGTCTCTAGTCTCAGCACCCCCTTTATTATTTGATGTAATGTTCAACTCTCTGTGTCTAAAATTGACATCAGGATCTTCCTCTAGAGCTTTTCTTGCCCTTGTGTTAAATATTGTAATGAAGTACATTCATTGAAACTAGAATAATACTAAAATGAATATTCATATGTCACTTTATAGTAGACAAAGGTTTATTTTTACATGTATTTATTTATATTTGCTTGAGATAAAATTCCTACATGATTCACCATTTTCATCATTTTAAAGTGTACAATTCAGTGACTTTAATACATTTGCGATGTAGTGCAACCATCACAACTATCTAATTACAGAATATTTTATCACCTGAAAAGGAAACCCCATACTCAATAAGGAGTCACTTTCTATTCTACCATTCCCCAATCATGGCAACCACCAATCTGCTTTCTGTCTGTATGGATTGGCTTATTCTAGACATTTTATATGAATGGAACTAAACAATGTGAAACCTTTGGTGTCTGGCTTATTTCACTTACCATGATGGTTTCAAGGTTCATCTATGTGGTAGCACGGATAAGGTTTTTATAATTCTTATAGTTGGATAATATTGCATTATATGGATATACCACTCTGTTTCTATATTTGTCAGTAGATGGACATTTGGGGGTGTTTCCACTTTTTCTGGCAATTTTGAATTATGCTTCTATTGACGTACAAATATTGTATGTACAAATATTGACGTACAAATGTCTGAACACCTATTTTCAGTTCTCTTCGGTAGATATCTAGGCGGAATTTCTGGGTTATATATTAATTATATGTTAAACATTTTCAGGAATTTACAAACTATTTTCTAGAATGGCTGCATCATTTTGCATTCCCAACAGCATTCCATGTGACTTCAAATTTCTCCACATCCATGCCAACCCTTATTTTTCTTTCTTTTATCTAAACTAGTAGGTGTGAAGTAGTTTTCTTTGTGGTTTTTGGTTTGCATTTCCCTAATAGTTAATGATGTTGAGTATCTTTTCATGTACTTATTGGCCAAATGCATGCTATTTTGGAAAGTTGTCTATTAAAGCCTTTGTTCATTTTTAAATTGGGTTGTCCTTTTGTTGTTGAGCTGTGAGTATTCTTTATATAATCTGGATACTAGGCCCTTATTAAATATATATAGATTTACTAATATCTTCCCACATTCTGTGGGTTGTCTTTTAACTTTATTGATTTTTCTTTTGATGAACAAAGTATTTAATTTTAATGAAGTCCAGTTTGCCTATTTTTTTTAGCTTGTGATTTTAGCATTATATCTAAGAATCCACTGCCAAATCCTCAGTTATAAAATGTTACTCCTATTAATTTTCCTATAAGAGTTTTAGAATTTCAGGTATTAAATTTAGGTCTTTGATCATTTTGAATTAATTTTTTCTTATATAGTGTGAGACAAGGTTCTAATTTCATTATTTCACCTGTGGTCATTCAGTTGTCCCAGCACCATTTGTTAGACTGTTAGATCATTCCTGCCACATTTAATAGTCTTGGGACCCTTATTGAAAATTAATGTCTGGGTTTCTTTCTGGATTCTCAATTTTATTCCATTGATCTATGTGTCTATCAATATGCCACATATTACTGCAGCTTTGTAGTAAGTTTTGAAATCAGAATATTTGAGTTCTCCACCTTTGATTTTCATTTTCAAGATTCTTTTGGCTTATTTGGAATTCTGGCAATTCTATATGAATTTTAAGATCAGCTTGTCCATTTCTGAAAAAAACTGCAGCTGAAATTTTGATGAGACTTACATTGAATCCATAAATTAATTTGGAGATTTTTGCCATACAAATGATATTAAGATTTTCAACATATAAACTGCAGAGGACCTTTTATTTATTTAGATGTTTTAAAATTTATTTCAACAATATTTCATAGTTTTTAGGGGGTAAGTTTTGCATGTTCTTGGTTAAATTTACTAGTATTTTCTTTATTTTGATACTTTTGTAAGTAGAATTGTTTTAATTTTATTTTCTGATTGTTCATTATTAATTTATAGAAATGATTTTTAATACTGAAATTTATCCTATAACTTTTCCAAATTTATTAGCTCTAACAGTTTTTAAGATTTTTATATGTAAGATGATGCCATCTGTGAATATAGTTTTTCCTCTCTCTCTTTCCAATTTTGATGCCTTCTAGTTCTTCTTACTCAATATCCCTGACTAGATCTTCCAGTACAATGTTGAGGAATAAAATGATAAGAACAAACATTATCTTCTTGTTCTTGATCTTATGGGAAAATATTCAATCTTTCACCATTATGTATAATCTTAGTTATGAATTTTTATAGCTATACTTTATAGTTTTGAGAAAGTTCTTTTCTATTCCTAGATCATTGAATGTTTTTATCATTAAAAATGTTGGATTTTGTCAAATATTTTCCTACATCACTTAAAATGTTTGTGCTTTTTTGTCCTTTTTTTTTTGTAAGAGTGTGGAATAATACATTATAATCTATTAAATTTATTTATTTTTATATGTTGAACTATCCTTCTGTTTCTGAGATAAATTCCATTTTGTCATGGTGTATAATCCTTTTAATGCTGGAAGAATATAGCTTTCTCATATTTGTTGAATAATTTTTTATTTATACTCATAAAGTATATGGTCCGTAGTTTTCTTTTCTTGTGATGTATTTGTCTTTGGTATCAAGATAAAATGGACTTTATAGAAGAAATTAGGAAATATAGCTCTTCTATTTTTTTCAAAGAGTTTTAGAAGAATTGCTGTTAATTCTTCATTAAATGTTTCATAGAATTTACCGGTAAAACTCACCAGAATGTATTTGGTCCTGAGCTTTACTTTGTTGGAAGTCGTTTTATTATTATTAATATTATTAATTCAATCTCTCTGTTACAGGACTACTCAGACAACACATTCTATTTCTTCTTCAGTTCATGTTTGTGTTTATGTGTCTCCAGGATTTTTTTTTCATATCATCTAGATTATTTAATTTTTTTGGAGTACATATTTTTCATCATATTTTCTTATAATCCTTTTTTTATTTCTGTAAGGTCTGTAGCAATGTCATGATTTGCATTACCGATTTTGGTAATTTGAGTCTTTGTTTTTTTCTTGGTCAGTCTAGCTAATGGTTTGAAAATGTTGTTGATGTTTTGGGAGAAAAAACCCCAACTTTTGGTTTTATTTGTTCTCCGTTTTTCTGTTCACTAGTCAATTTAATTATCTCCTCTCTAACCTTAATTATTTCCTTCTTTCTGCTTGCTTTTGGTTTAGTTCACTCTTATTTTTTTCTAAGTCCTTAAAGTGGGAGGTTAGATTGATAATTTGAGATTTTTCTGTTCTTTTTTTTTAATGTAGACATTTCCAACTATAAATCTTCCTCTGACTATTGCTTTTATAAGATCCTATGCCATTTGGTATATTGCATTTTTGTTTTCATTTGTCCCATAGTATTTTCTAATATCCCTTTTGAATTTTCTTTGACCATGTTGGTTAAAAGTGCATTGCTTAATTTAAACATATGTTTTCAATTGCCCATTTTTCCTTCTACTATTGATTAGTAATTTTATTCCACTTTGGTCAGAGAAGATACCTTGTATGATTTTAATCTTTTAGATTTAATAAGATTTGTTTTATAATCTAGCCTGGAAAATGTTCCATGTGTCTCTGAAAATAATGTGCATTCTACTATTGTTGGTTTGAGTTGTTAATATTTGTGTTTGGTCTGGTTGGTTTCAAGTGTTGTTCAAGTCTTCTAATTCCTTGTTTCTATTTTCTCCAGTTGTTTGATCCATTATTCCAAGTGGGTTATTGAATTCTCTATCATTGTTGACTATTTCTCCACTCAGTTTTATCCATTTTTGCTTCATAGGTCTTGAGCCCTGTTGTTAAGTGCTGATAAATTTTAAATTTTTATATATTCTGGATGGATTAGACCTTTTATCATCATATAATGTTCTCTTTTGTCTTTTGTAACAATTTTTATCTTAAATTTATTTGGTCTGATATTAGGATAGCCATTCCATCATTCATTTGGTAGCTGTTTGCCTGCATATCTATTACCATCTTGTTACTTTCAACCTATTTTTGTCTTTGGATCTAATGTAAGTCTCTCACAGGCAGCATACAGTTGAACTAGATTTTTCCTTTTTAAATCTGTTCTTCTAATCTCTTTCTTTTAATTGGACAATTAAAACCATTTGTATTTTATGTGATTACTGATAAAGACCTACTTCTGCCATTTTGCTCTTTGTCTTCTACATGTCCTATATTGTTTTATTCCTCAATTCCTACATTACTACATTCTTTTATGTTAAATATTTTCCAGGCCCACTTTTGATCTCCTTATTTCTTTTACTATATATATTCTTAGTTATTTTCTTAGTGGTTACTGTCAGGACTAAAAATAACATCACTATTTATAATAATCTATATTTGGACTAGTCATTCTTTTGGATGCTGTAAACTTTTGTTTAGTTTCCAGAATTCTGAGATAGTTGATTATCATATTTTTCTTACCAGTTTATTTGCTGTTTTTGTGACAGGATAGGCTTTTGGAAACTCCTTTACCATTTTTACAGACATAACTTCTATTTTTTATTTTTTTAAAATATTTTCACCTTAGTATTAATTTATCCTTTAATTTATCCTTATTTAATATAAAAACTTACTTTGGTTTCTCTTTGGAGTTTATCCTGTGGTAGTCATTAACATTCTTCTCTTAATATTTCTGACTCCCCCTTCTGGCTACAAGTTTAGTTTGCACTTTTTCTGCTTTCCTGTGGTTAGATGTGGCCACATGGATAAATGTAGTCATTTTGATTTGAGAAACCTGGTGTGTTTTAATTCTAGGTCAAGTACTCTGTTGCCTAATAAGACCTTACAGATCTCAGGCTACGCTTTAGCCTAGCAAACAGCAACATCTGAGATGAAGATTACTCCATAGCTTTGTTTCCTGACTGGCCAAATTTGCTTACCTATGGATAGCATAGAATGTTAAGTGAGAAGTAAATTGTTGTTGTGTAAAGCCATTGAGATTTTGGGAGTTGTTACTACATCAAAACCCAGTCCACTGGTTCCCAAAGTTTATGATCTCAGAAACTAATTATACTTATGAAATGTTCTTGATTACTTCAGAGAACTTTTGCATATGTGGATCATATCTGTTGATATTTGTAACATTACAAAGTAAAACAGATAAATTTTAAATGTGTTTTGTTTGTTTGTTGAGATAGATTTTCACTCTTCTCACCCAGGAGTGCAATGGTGCGATCTTGACTCGGTGCGATCTTGACTCACTGCGATCTCTGCCTCCTGGGTTCAAGGGATTCTATTGCCTCAGCCTTCCGAGTAGCTGGGATTACAGGTGCCCACCACCATGCACAGCTAATTTTTGTATTTTTAGTAGAGTCTGGGTTTCACCACGTTGGCCAAGCTGGTCTGGAACTCCTGACATCACGTGATCCACCTGCCTCGACCTCCCAAAGTGATAGGATTACAGGAGTGAGCCGCTGCATTGGGCCTTAAATGTTAATTAATTAATTAAAATAGCAATTATAAACATTCTATATTGTATCATAAATCATATGTACTTATAGAAATTTCCATGTTTTCTAAAGTAAAAAATGTTTTAAATAAGAAATATAACATTGTGGCATATTTTTGAAATGCTTTTTATGTTTCAGTAAAAACTTATTGGAATTAATGTTATAACATGTACCATAGCCCCTGTATAACTCCACAGTCCACTCTCAAAGGAATGAGAAAAAAAAAATGAAAATGCACCTTACTATTATTATAAAAATAGTTTCTACCTTAAGGATTCCATGACAATTTATCAATAATGCCCCCAAAACATCCTGTAATCATCTTTTAACTCTCAGCTTAGATGACACTTATTCAAGCAATGTTTCTTTGAACCTTCAAAACTGAGATATATTATTTTATCTACTCCTTTCATACAATTAATCATATCGTATCATAATTTTCTGCTTGCTGTACAATGAACTAAACAGTGAGCTAATTCATTATTTGTTCATTCACTTTTGTTCATTCACTTACTCTACAAATGCATGTTAATTACTCATTGTGCTACATCATAGGCAAATATTGGAGGGCAGGGCAGATACAGCTTTGCCCTTATGAAAGAGATTTACATTTTTAATATTTTCTTTAGAAAGCTTATCCCAAAAGATAAATAAGGAAAAGTGTTATTTCTCAAAATTTGGCCTTCAGCCAGGCATGAGAAACCTATTTTCACACTGGGTAGTGGAAAATCTTAATGTGAACCCAATCCTCTTCAATACATTGTTATCATTTTATGTTATTAGAACAGTCCGATTTTGGTTTTAAAATTCAAATATGTTCATTTTTGAAATACAAACCTCAGCTTCTGATGAAGTTTCTTTCTCTCCACCCCCTTGAAGTTGACCTTTTTATATTATAGACGTTTGAAGGAAAGGGGAGCTGTTTTTCAAACATACATTTTTCAAACAGCTCCCCTCCTTGAAGAGTATGAGAAAAACTTTATCTCCAAGTCTTTGCTATTGTGAATAGTGCCACAATAAACATACATGTGCATGTGTCTTTATAGCAGCATGATATATAATCCTTTGGGTATATACCTAGTAATGGGATTGCTGGGTCAAATGGTATTTCTAGTTCTAGATCCCTGAGGAATCACCACACTAACTTCCACTCAGCAAACTATCACAAGGACAAAAAACCAAACACCTCATTCATAGGTGGGAATTGAACAATGAGAACACACGGACAAAGGAAGGGGAACATCACACACTGGGGCCTGTTGTGGGGTGGTATACCTAATGTTAAATGACGAGTTAATGGGTGCAGCACACCAACATGGCACATGTGTACATATGTAACAAACCTGCAAGTTGTGCACATGTACCCTAAAACTTAAAGTATAATAAAAAAAAAACTTTATCTCTGTAACTACTGTTGTAGCAGATTGTCTGAGATCTCAAAGTATACACACTTTGATGATCCCCCAAAGTGGGGGGGATCCTATGTACCCCACAAATGAGGGGGTCATTTATGAAGAATGTTTCTTGGTATCAGTCTTTGCCATATAAATTTAGCTGCATGTTTTGGTTTATCTCAAGAGGTTTGATATAATATTTCTCTGTTGTGCCTGCTCCCCTTCCTCATCAAAAATTTTAAGTTCTCCTATTTCTTTTATTAATAGAGTCAAATCTGATGCCCATTAATTTATAGGGCTTATTTAAAATACCTTATATAAGGCAGATAGTGGTATTGGTTGGCAGTCCATGCCCCCTCTCTGCCTATCAGCCTCTCATTATGCCTTTCCTTCTGGATTATTTTGACCCTGTTCTGATAGCATGGGGGCATGTTACTAAATCTGCTGATTGAGCATATATCTATGTATCCAGAAAATCCTTGACTTCCATTCTTACACTGTCAGTCACAGGTTATTTCCTTTGGGTTCTCACTCATGTTTTTAACTTGTTTTAAAAGTTTTTATCTAGGAAATATTCAACCACACACACAGAAGACAATAGTATAATAAATCATCCTGTACATTATAACAGTAGCTTTTATAATCATCAATTTAGAGCCAGTCTCAAGGACTTCAGCCTCAGCTTAGTAACAGGCACTCCTCTCTCCTCTGTTCTATCTACTTTTCCCCCAAAATTCTGCATTCCCTAAATATTATCCTCAGGTATCTCTCTCACTCTTCCTTTAAGTTGACATGGAAGTAAGTTGTAGGAATGAATGGGAGAAACAGTCCTCTGAACTGGTTTCTATTTTCAAGCCTTATGGGTAATGACTGACCACAAAAAGTAGTGGTTCTCTGAACATCGATATAGAGGGTACTGAGTTCTTCCTTCCTTGAGTCACATATAAAAACCACTATAAAGTTCCTAATACAGACATTTTAAGCCTTTTCTAACCTATCATCCTTTGCTAAGTGCAGGGTGCTATGGAAACAAATATCAGAGACTTATATTTCCTGGGGTTAGAAAAGACCCTTTGAACTGGCAATGGTCTGGAAATATATATATTTATAGTTACATAGCCATCCGGGGCTGCAGTGTGGTCTGAGGTGTTTTGTTTGTTTATTTGGTTTGTTTTGGGAAAGTCTAAGTATCTATTCAAAGCCATTTTAATCTACCAGGATGTATAAAATAACAGTAGCTTCAATGTTCAGGGTGTACCTCTTCTAACTTAAGAGTTATCAGGACATAGCTATTGTAGGAATCAAATACATAATAGGCAGTGAATAAAAATGCAGAAGTTTTGGGTTTACACAAGGACCATACTGAGCAGGCCTGATGTTGAAGACTGGGTGGAACTATTAAGGGAGCCAAGAAAAAGTTGTGTGGGAGGTCTGGGAAAGTGAAAGTAAAAGTAAGAAGATCTCCTGATCTGGCAGGGCAGGAGGGAAGAATGAAAAGAGGGAAAGAAGCAGAGGAGGCCCCTGCGGTAGGGGCCAAGATGCTGTGGAGGCTGAGCTGCTGTGTGTCTTCAATTTATGTGTGGGCTGTCTCAAATCCCTAGCCCAAAATCTGAACTTGAAATTACATTCTTAGAGATCCTTGTATCAACATTATCTTACCCCATACAGCCATTAATGAACAAATACAAGAGTTCAGTGAACTGTGTTGAAAGGACTTAGAAATTCTTTATTGCAAAAACAAAACAAAACAAAACTCTGATCTGATTTTTATTCTATTTGAGTTCAGCTTAACTTATACTCTTGTTTGTGGAAATAAAGGAGGGGTGAAATAAGGTATTTCAGGGAAGAAGACCTGAAATTTCTGTTCTTACATTGAAAATGTGTCCGGAATTGGTGGGTTCTTGGTCTTGCTGACTTCAAGAATGAAGCCGTGGACTCTCGTGGTGAGTGTTACAGTTCTTAAAGATGGTGTGTCCGGAGTTTGTTACTTCAGATGTTCAAATGCGTCCGGAGTTTCTTCCTTCTGGTGGGTTTGTAGCCTCACTGACTTCAGGAGTGAAGCTGCAGACCTTCAAGGTGAGTGTTACAGCTCTTAAAGGTGGTGTGTGTGGAGTTGTTCATTCCTTCATGGTCTCGCTGGCCTCAGGAGTGAAGCTGCAGACCTTCGTGGTGAGCGTTACAGCTCATAAAGGCGGCGCAGGCCCAAAGAGTGAGCAGCAGCAAGATTTATTGCAAAGAGCGAAAGAACAAAGCTTCCACAGTGTGGAAGAAGACCCGAGTGGGTTGCTGCTGCTGGCTGGAGTGGCCTGCTTTTATTCCTTTATCTGGACCCACCCACATCCTACTGATTGGTCCATTTTACAGACAGCTGATTGGCCTGTTTTACAGAGAGCTGATTGGAGCGTTTACAATCCTTTAGCTAGGCACAGAGTGCTGATTGGTGCGTTTACAATCCTTTAGCTAGACACAAAAGTTCTCCAAGTTCCCACCAGATTAGCTAGACACAGAGTGCTGATTGGTGCATTTATAATCCTTTAGCTAGACACAAAAGTTCTCCAAGTCCCCACCAGATTAGCTAGACACAGAGTGCTGATTGGTGCATTTACAAACCTTTAGTTAGACACAGAGTGCTGATTGGTGCATTTACAAATGTCTAGCTAGACACAGAGTGCTGATTGGTGTGTTTACAATCCTTTAGCTAGACAGAAAAGTTCTCCAAGTCCCCACCCAACCCAGAAGCCCAGCTGGCTTCACCTCTCAATGGCACTCACCATGGGACTTTGCAGCACCTAGCCTGAGCACTCCAGCAGCCCAAAGGGAACTCATTCCCCGATCAAGCCCAGCAGGCACCAGCCAGCTGCACCGAGTGTGGGGCCCACCGAGTGTGGGGTCCACCGAGCCCACACCCACCCGGATCCTGCACCAGCCCATGAGCGCCACACACAGCCCCAGCTCCTGCCCGCACCTCTCCCTCCACATCTCCCTACAAGCAGAGGGAGCCGGCTCCAGCCTCAGCCAGCTCCAGAGAGGGGCCCCCACAGTGCAGCAGCGGGCTGAAGGGCTCCTTGAGCGTGGCCAGAGTGGATGCCAAGGCCAAGGAGGCTCCGAGAGCAAGCAAGGGCTGCTAGCACGTTGTCACCCCTCAATCCCCCCTCTATACAGGACACCCCAACTGCTCTTTGGAATTTGGCTGATGACCACTCTAGCTACTTCCTGCTGGATAGAGGCGAAGAAGGGGCCCTGCAGTTGTAGTGTCCTCCAGAGCGGAACTCTTTAGGCCAGGGGAACTCTTTAGTCCTCTCAAAAAGTGGTCTGGTGCAATTACCAAGTAAAACACAAGACAGCCCCTTGTGGAAATTTAGCAAGACAAAGGTAAGTGGCAGGTGAGTGCTGCACTGATTTTGCCACTACAAACTCCCTTGGAAGCAACTGTACCACATCATTAGTTGTGTGATTTAAAGACTTCTATTTCCAGACAGATGAGGCTCTCTTTTAGAGGGCAATTTTATAAACTTGCAGAGAACTTCTTTATCTTCATAGTTGTAAATAAGCACTACAGGGCATTCTGGAAGATTCAGAGTGAATCACTGCACATAAGTGTTAACAACCAGGGAATTATGTTTTGTTTGTTACATAATTTTAATATGAGAGTAACATCTTGATTCAGGACTCTGTTCAGCTGAGAGAATCAATTTTAACTGGAGAGGTGTGAAAGTCACATAGCATTACTGCTGAATAAGGATTTGAGAAAACAAATCTTTAAAATGACAAAATATAACTTTCTAGTAATTATATTACCTAACATTAATGTTCACAAAACTTTCACATTTTAAACTTCTTTCTACATTGCCAAAGCTTATTCAATTGAGATAAATGAAAAATCACATAATTTATAAAACCAATTTTATAACAAAGTTTTGAAGAATAGTATGTGAATATAATGCTATTTGTATTCATCGATTTCTTCTGACAACAAATGTTTTTACTTTGAGTCAAATTTTTATTACTGTGATTTTTTTAATCCATCAGAAAAAAAAATTAAACTTTTTTTGACAACAAAAGATAAATGCATTCCTCTTTTATGTAAAATCTGGTCTGAGCAAAGTTCCAAATTGCCACATACACAATGCCCAGGAATAAAAGCAAACATACAATAGCAGGGCTTCTTTTACATTAATAGAACTCTAACTTGTTTGAAGTAGTAAGAGGAGTTAGGAATGGCTACTTTGTAAGTCCTGGCCATTAACACTAATAGGAATTGGAAGAAGGGACTTGTAGGCAAGTGCCTTAAAAAAAAAAAAAGATTCACCCAACACATAACTTTGTTTCTTTTTCTCTTTTTTATTCATCCTACCTGGAAATCAGAAATGATGGTTAGAGCTGCATTAGTTATTTTAAAACAGGATGCAAAATTGAGAAAATGAATTAGGATTAAATACAGTAGAGATGAAAAATAAGACCTTGAGGCAACAGAGATGTTGTAGAGCTACACAGTAGCCCTGAACTGATAAAATATGGATTTCTTTTTATAAGAAAAATAGATAAACCTGTATACTGTTTAATCTCCTTTGTGGAAGAGGGAGCATGACTTACAACTTGCAAGCAAATATAATCCTGATACACAGTTAAACTTTATAATTTGTTATAGCATTGCAATAAATTTTTCTCAATTAAAAAATTAACTCTATATAAATATTTCAATTTATTCATTACTAACTTATATTTATTGAGCACATATTAAATGTCCAGGGCTACTCTAGATGCCAAGGACTCAATAGTAAATAAAACATAAAAGCCCTTGCTCTCTTAAAGCTTTCATTCTAATAAGGATAAACTAAATTTAAGCAAAATATACATAACGAGCCAAGTGCTATGGTGGAAAATAAAGGGTGATTGAAGGAAAGTGGGTGACAGCTTGGAGATATACTGCTATTTTAAGTCAGGCAGTCAGGAAGAGTCTTTTTGATGAGGTGACAATTGAGCAGAGACTTACAGAGGAGACATAGCGAGCCATGTGGATATATATACATATATATCTCTGAATACTCCTGTAAGTACTGTAAGTAAACACAACCCAGGAGCAAGAAGCACAGCTAATCCCCAGACACTGGGTTTCTGAATATATATATATATATCAGAATATATATATATATATATCAGAATATATATATATATATATATCAGAATATATATATATATATCAGAATATATATATATATCAGAATATATATATATATCAGAATATATATATATATATCAGAATATATATATATATATATATAGTGAAAATGTTCTAGATAGTGAGAACAGTAACAGCAAAGGCTTTGGACTCAATGCACACCTGCAGAATTCAAGAAGTAATAAGGAGCTTAAGTAAGAAAGTGAGCCGGGTAGTGTGGTAGCTATATTCTTAGGTCAACTCTTCTCCAGTTTTAAGTGGAGTTATATCCTTAGATTAACTCTTCTCCATGTTTACATATGAAACACCTGGAATTTTGTATTCCTAAGCAGGTCCTTAGTGATGACAGTGATGTACACCAGGAGTCTAGAAGGTCTTAGGTGAAATTATTGACACCATCCTTCTTCCCTTTCTGTGTTCACCTCTTTGCAATATGACTTTGCAGTTTTTTTTTTTTCTAAAGGAGTATAGTTTCCTGTCCATTCATTTGTGTATGGCCATATGAACTTAATCTGGTTAATGAAATGAAACAGAAAGGATGGTACCTTCGTACTGAGCTTAGGCCTTAAGATCCTTTTTGTGGTTCTGCTTCTCACTTAATTATGTCATTGCCATATAATGAGAGACACATGGAACCCATCTGAGCCTAGCTTAGATCACTGACCACCCCCAACCAACCCAGAGATGTGTGAGCAAGTCTGGTTGAGATTAGCAGAACTGCTCAGTCCAGTATAGCATATATCAGTTCACCAGCCACAGCCAACAGTCACATGAGCCATTATAAGTCACTTTGTATTAAGCCACAGGGTTTTATGAGCAATAATAACACATACATTTAAATAATGCTGTCATGGGAAATTTTAAAAATTCAATTACTGCTGGGTGCAGTGGCTCATGCCTGTAATCCCAGCACATTGGGAGGCAGAGGCAGGCAGATCACTTAAGGTCAAGTGTTTGAAACCAGCCTGGCCAACATGGTGAAACCCCATCTCTACTAAAAATTCAAAAATTAGCCAAGTGTGGTGGTGTACACCTGTAGTACTCTGGAGGTTGTGGCAGGAGAATCCCTGGAACCCAGGAGGCAGAGGTTGCAGTGAGTCAAGATTGCGCCACTGCACCCCAGTCTGTGCAAAAGAGTAAGACTCCATTTCAAAAAAAAAATTACTATTTATTTTGGAAGCCCACTAGTTTTTAAAGGTGTACTCAGAGGTATGAAGTACGGTTGACCAAGAATTATCTAATCACAAGAACTGTTTTTATTTATATTTTGAATCAAATTCCTCTTTAAACCAAAGTTAAATAGGCCATGAAATCTATCATATTTGTAAAATATGAAGTACTTTCTTATTTTGTTCAAGAAAAGATATTGATATATTTCTGATGAAAAAAATAGTTGAATCAGCTGAACTTTATGTGAGTTACAAAAATCAGAAAATGTGAAAACAGAAGATCATGCTAATTTAGGATTGCCCAACAGCAGCAATGAATCAATATCATTGAATCAGGTTACTATCTTGATATCTATGCAGTACTTTATAGTTATTCAGCCAAAGTATAGAAAAACAACAACTTAGAAGATGAAGTGGTATTGAATGGGAATTATAGGTGTCTGCATAAACATGATATAATGCATGATATAACTGCATATAATGTATTTATGTATGTACATATTTATAGGCATATATTAAGTTGGCTGCAAAAATGGTTGTTTTTGCCATTAAAAGTATTAACCAAAACTTCAATAACTTTTGTACCAAACTAACATCTATACCTCTATTTCATGCTCTCTGAATAGTCCTGGAAGTAAACACAACCCAGGGGCAATAAGCACAGCTAATCCCCAGACACTGGATTTCTGAATACCATTCTCTACTTAAAAGAACAAAAGAACTTAGGAAAATGGCTGATTTTAGGATGAAGGCAAAGAAAGTACATGACAACCCTAGAATATCTTGAATATCTTGCTTTGCTACAAAATAAATTCCACAACGATTGAAAGAAATATAATTAAGATACATAGAAACAAACTTAAAGGGACTCCCATTGGCTAAATTTGGAAAAGTTTGAGCTTCAAAATAAATAAGAAAGCAACAAAATATTCATGGAATAAAATAAGAATCTTTTATTGCTTGATTGAATCTAGTGTCTGCTAGCTTTTGCTAATACACAATTATTGTACCCCTTTGACCTAATAAGTAATTTGAAGGGAAAATATTATTCATTTAGTTACTATTGTTCCTAAAATTACTTATTGATTTCAACGGGGTCAATAGTAGCTGTACAGTATTTTATTCCATGAATATTATTTTACACTCTTGTTTATTTTGATGAACAAAAATTCTCAGCTTTGGCCAGTGGAAGTCCTCTCAAGTTTGGTCATTTTAATGTGCATTTTATATAGTGAATTGACTTACACAATTGCAGGGGCTGTCTAAGTGGTCTCCTTAAGGTCATGTTTGTGTCCAGTGATGGAACCTGAAGTTCACAGGGCACAGGAGAAAAATCAGGAGGGGAAGATCACAGCAGGATGGAATTCGAACAATACAAGCTAGAACTCCACAAGGATGGACTAAAACCCTCCATGAGAAAGGACTGAAACCCATGTCTGCTCTTATTGCCCCTGACGTTGGTGAAAAGGGTATCTGGTAGAATCTGTTGCCTTCTGATCATGAAGCTAAAAAACGCCGCCTTCCCCCACCCCCCTACACACACACACTCCTACCTGTTTCAGTAGTTAAAGAAGCTAAAGGAGGATACAGGGAAAGAGAGCAATTGCAGAACCAGGTACCGCTCCATGCCAACATGATAAGGCAGCAGACCAACAAGAACATTGCAACAAAATGTCCTCTTTATTCCTATCATCATCCAAATCTCACAGAAATCTCCCTTGTGGCCCAACCTTAACAGAAATGCACAAGAAAGGGAATTCGGAGCAATGCAGTTCCCTAGCCTAGTAGAAACATTACAAAGCCACCTCTTGTAGACTTGGCATCATCCATGCACGTCTTTTACTATACTTAGTCTTGAAATAAAGTCAATATTAAAATTATAGTTCACCTAATATGATAAAACTATCTTTCATATAACTGAAAACACACTAACTCTTTCCTCACAAAAGGCTACAAAATGCCTTTTTGTTGTTAAATGATGTTCACTCTTCTCAAGCTGATTTATACTTGGCCTATGATATCTTATAACTTAAATACGAACAAGTAGGGTTAAGTATTGTTAAGATATTTTATTTAGAGAGATAAGCAAATGAAGGCAAGAAAGCAAAAATATTTTATTAAGGTATGTAATCAAATTTATATCAAGATAAGAAAGAAACATTTATAACTATCAGTCCTTATTTCTATAATTGGTCAGGGGCTTGTATCTGATATTTATAACCACCTTCTTCCACTACCCATTCCATATTTCATTTGCCCTTATCAAGTACCTGAGTTGCTCGGTTAGCAATAATTCTTTGCCTGGTGGCATGAGTAAAGTAGCTCTGTGCGTGTGTGTGTACTTGTACATATACAGAATCAGTAAAGAGAGATCATCATATAGGAAAATATGAAAGAAACATTTAGCAATATGGAAAATAGAATAAAACATTTAACATATATCTTATTAGACTACCAGAAGAAGGAAATAAAACAAACAGGTGATATCAGTTGTGATAATTTTCCAGGACTGGTGAAGAGCATGAATCTGCAGATCCAGGGATAATGCATATACAATGTTGGAAGAATATAAAAGAAGTCCACAAATAAATACATGATAGAGTAATGGCTAATGCAAGAGACAAAGAGAATCCCTTAAGAGCAGTTTGATGGAAAGGACAGACCACATACAAATAAGAGACATTAATAAATGACCAAAATAAACCATAATAGAAGTAGCAGATAATGTATGAAAAATATTAATTTGAAAAATGGCTCAACATAGAATTATATACCAGAAAAATAATTATTAAAATTGAAGGATAAATAAAAAAGCAAAAACATTAAATACAGAAAAGTGTCATTTGAGAAAGCTAAGCTTTGGGGCTTTGCAAGGTCAATGTCATAGTAGGCAGAAGTACTTTCTGAAACAACCTTAGCTTTGGGAACATAAAATAGACTATAATGTGAGAGTTCTCATTAACGGTCACTGGGGAACCATTGAGTCCTGAATCTTTGCAAGATGATCTGGCCAATCTCTGTCTCCTACACAGAAATATCCTCTTAGTGGTCCATGAAACCAACCTAATTACTAGGAGCAACAGAAAATAAATATGAACTAACCTATGCAAAGACAACACAAAAGAACAAAATGAACCATATAATAGCTCAACCAACAAAAAAAAAGGCACGCCAGAACAATGTGGCCACCATGGAGCTGAAAACTGCAGCTACATGTTACAAAAAAATTAAAAGAAATAAATTGAAATATAAACTATAAGAGAATGGCGTACATCAAACATACCTCAGCTAAAGAGTGAGAAATTTAAAAAATAACAGAAGGTAAAAAGAGAACAAACAACATTCAAGAAAGAAGTTTTAAACAAATAAAAAAATTATAGATTTGTAGATAATTTATATTATCTATACATATACAGTATAAAGGAGAAAAAGTATAATGACAGCAAATAAAAAGAAATGTGACAGAATTTTAGCAATAATATAAATAATGAGGGTTTTGAATTGTAACCCATAGAATAAAATAATTAGTCTATGCTGATTTAAATAAAAGATTAAATAAACAAGTAGGAAAGAAGAAAAATAATGATTTTATTTATTAAATGTGAAAAGAGGAAACTAGTAAATCATCAGTAGGCAAATCCCACAGCAGTAATTGCCGTAAGCCAGATCCAAGGATGGGTGCTAATATTAATGGGCAGATATTTGAAGAGAAAGAAGGTATCTTCAATGCCTCAACATATCTCCCTCAAAGTTTTTATTAAATCCAATGATGAAAATACTAACTTTACCGTGGAGAAACTTGACATTCAGTGCTTTAACCAAATGATCAAAGTTAACATCATTAGAAATAAGACTATCAACACAACATTATGTGCCTTCAGATATGATCCACAGAGAAGAGTGCATCATTAAATGGTGTTCTTGCCAAAATACACACCCTAAACTTACCATGAGTAAGAACACCTAAACAGACAATTCATGAGAAAAGCAATGCACATGGAATGTCAATTTGTGACAATAAGTCTAACCCCACCCAAAATCTAAGAAATGAATAAAATTACATTTAGACCAGAATTTATATACTATGAAATTAGGACTGACATGCAAACTACTATGAAATAGAAATGCCTACTGAAACAGTGCAAGAAGTATGGGGCTAATATTCAGGACAGGAAGAAAAGCCAGTTAAGCCTGGATTTGAGGGGCATGTTTCCCAAAACTTCTTCCAACTCCTCAAAAGTTAGTTGAGGGGTTGTGCAGCTAAGTGCAGCTTTCTCCGGACACATGGAACCAGGGAGAAAAAAAAATGTTCAGAATCTGACAAGGAGGGGAAAGCTTGTAAACAAATGTGGTTTGAAGAAGAATCATAACAGATTATAGTCTCAGAATAAATGTGAATTGGAAATAAACTTGATCTTACAGAGTGGGAAGTGTTTGCATCATCCAAATCTCCAGTGTGATTAAAATGTTCTGGATTTATTAATTCCTCTGGGTTCTAGAAAGAACCAAATATTTTTTAGTAAGATAACATTGTTGTAGGCCTCAAGTCCCTTCTACAATTTTAAATATACATCCTTTGGAATGCATCCAAAAAGAGCAAGTTCTAATATGAGACAAGAAGACAAGATAGAAAATCAACAGATCCAAGAGTTAACACCCATGAATTCAACATTAATTGCGCTGATGCATTCAAGGAAATAAGTGATAAGCTTGATTACTTTCTAGGACAAAAAGCAAATGAGAATCCTTGAACCAACAATTATGAAAACTTGAATTAATAACTGAAATTCTACTAGCAATATCTTATTTTTAGGCATGACATAGTTATTCTCAGTGTTAGCCCCATTCTCAGTTGTAGGTTTTCCCTTTGCACTGCACCTCAGAGTCTTCTTTCAGACCTCCCAGAAGTATTCTGTTGTTATTTTTACTTAATATTTGTTATCCTGGTCGGGTGGTCGGAGAGCAAGTAAGTATTTTCAGTGTCAGTGGGCCTAAAGGTTTTGGCCTTCACAATTGTTCCTCTCCCTTCCCTCTTCCTTAGCTGTAGTGCTGAGACTAGCATGTATTACTACCCCTCCTCCAAAGCTTGTTTTGTTTTTTAATATCCTATTCCCACAGCTGCAAAGGTTTTCAATTGTAGTTAGAGACATTAACACATATCTCTCAGTCACTGACAGAATACTGAGGGGCCGGTAGGTGGGGGGATTAGTAAAGATAAAGATCCAAACAACATAGTAAGAAAACTGGACCTTATTTAAATAGAATACTCTTAAGAACAACATAATACATTTTCATGTATGCATCGAACATTTACTAATATAAAACCATATGCTAAATTATAAGAAAGTCTCAATCAATATCAAAGGTTTGGAATCATGCAGATAAATAGGCAAATTACAAATAAAGTTACTTAGAAAGTATCTTTAGCTGGATGATACTCACAACCGAGAAGGCATTTTTTGCAAGGGTTTTATATGAAGCAACTAAAATCAAATGATTCACCAAACCTTTTAAAATAAGCAGTGGCAGAGGCATGATCTGATTGATAGACATTTTAAATGGGTCACTTGGGCTGCTCAGATAAGAACAAACAGTCAGAGGCTAGGCAACAGGAAGACCATTTACGAGGCTGTTTCAGTAACCCAGGTAAAACAAGATGGAGACTTGGACTAGGTTGGTGTCAGTGATATTGACCTAGCCCTCGTGTTAACTAGCCTAGGGAATTTAATAAAAGTGAAAAATATAGTCACTGCTTCTAAAAATTTTGAATTTAGTTTCTTATCATTATGTCTTCACTAAAATACGTCAGTTTGAACCATATACAACTGTCATTTCTGAGGATGAAATGGTCAAATTTGTACAATTTCATTTTGTTCAACCTCATAAACTCCATTAAGGCAAGACTTTTATTCTGTTTTGTTCTCTACGATATCCCCAAAAACTAAAAACAAGGGATGGCTGTTACAAGAAACTCAATAAATATTTATTTAATAAATAAATAGGCTTAACTTTTTTAATTGGCTTAATATAAAACCCAAATTTTGTTATGGTAATGTATTTAGTCATTCATTCTATATCTAGTAAATGTACACTTATTGATTCATATATGGTTTATATATTGAACTTGGCATTGGGCAATTCAATATATTGTTCTTATATTGAACTTGGCATTGGGGAAACAAAATAGAAAATGGTCTCTATTTTCAAGGAGCTGACATCCTGATGTGTGATAGAAACACACAAATAAAAGTTATTGCTACAGGGAATTTACTATACAAGTGTCCTGGAAGTACAGAGGAAATTGCTTAACACTTCCTAGGAAAGCAATGCATATTTTGACAAAACATGACATTTTAATTAGGTCTTGTATAAATAACATTTCATGGTTAAAGAATTAGAAAAGCTAGTATCATCTGAAGATGCCTACAGTGGGAATTTCCATGGTCTTAATATGATTTTTTGAAATATTTTATACCATTGATTATCAATAAAAGATGTAAAAAGTCACAATATAGACTATGTCACCATTTAGATCTAAATAAACAGACGATTGCTTGGAGGAATAGTTGATACAGTGCAAAATTTTCTAATAATAAAAAATAATATAAGACGTTTTCTTTAAGCCTGTGTTTATATAAAGACAAGAACTTTTTGAAGAGAATGCCTAAATTAAAAAAATAGGGTATGAGCAGAGATTTCCTAACTTTGATGCAAGAATTCCTGGAATTTATATTCAGGTAAATAGTGCAATTTGAGCACTTCAGTACTATCCTTGCAAAGGAATGTTGCAGGCTGACCTGTTTAGTGAACAATTTGAATTTAGAGGAAAATTGGTTAGCATCATTCTTTTAAGAAGAATGGCTAGGCTTCCAAAATAGGAGGACAGAAATAACAGAATAGGAAGGAAAAAAGTAGGTAGTGGAAATTAGGGATACTCAGGATGACTTTAGACTTGTCCTTGTGAATCTAGAACATTTCAAGTTCATCTTATGTCTGTAATTCAGCGGATTGTATTTTTACTGTCTCTATTAATTTAGTACCCTTCTAGAGAGTCCTTGTATTTGGTTTTAAATCTATTGACCTGGTTGTCAAAGATCCTCATAAAAAGATTTGAGTTATAAGACAAGCACACCTGTGCAAACCATGTGCTTGCTTTCCACTTCATGTCATTCATCTTTAACGTTGTTACAAACCTAAACAAAGCATTGTGTGGGAATGGGAAAGGGCACTGGGCACTGAAGGAAGGAAAATTCCTCAAGGCAAATAATTTAACCACTTCCTGATATGCAGCTAAGTATAGAGCTGCTCTTAGAAATAGTTTATATTCAGATATTTTGTATACGCTGACCAAAGAGGATAAGGCAAACATATTGATACAGCAATGCACCCTAATAATCCATCACTGTAACTCATCCAGGAGGGCTGGAGAAATTCCGCGGCAACCAGGTGAGCACCAAGAATTCTTTGGAACAAAGGGAATATAGGAAGAAAATAGTGTCAAATAGGTGATCGTGAAAATAGTTTACTTCTTCTGTTTATGGTAATTTCTGTTATTCTCATTCAGATAAACTATATTCTGAGGAGCTTATAGAGAAAAGCGTAGATGCCTAATGGAAACTGGACAAGGGTGCTTAGGTAGCTCTCCTATGGTGATAGAAATAGGGAACAAATAAAACTAAGTTATGTTTTCTTTCTCAATTCCAAACTTATACCTGTATCTTTAAAAACTTCATTCATACACAATTTCTTTAGTGGCAAGTAAAAAAGTGGATAAAGTTTCTGTCTGAGTAGCAGTGAACTTCCCTTTCCAGGAATGATATTACTTGAAGTTCTTTCCAAGTAATAATAATTTCAAAATATTGTTATTTATTTCTTGGTCACTTAGGCATAGGAGGAATTTCACCAGTAACTATGATTCCTGCAGAGCTAACCATAAGCAGAGAGGGTAAGGACTCTGTGCCTTCTCCGTGACAAGAAACACCAAAGATGCCCCAAGTTTAAAACTCCAGACAGGAAACTCACTTATTCGTCTTATTCGTTCAATAAATGCTTATATACTAAACACTTTCTTTTGAAGTGGATATAAGTAATGTTTGTGGATTCAGATTAGTAGATGAAGATAATTAAACAGTGTTTTAAATGTAATATAATTAATAAGAGATGCTAGACTACAGTGGGACTTGTACAGAGCTCAATTGGTAAATAGTGAGGGAGAAGGAAATCAGGAACATTTCTCTATGGAGCTGATGCCTGAGCAAAATTTTTGAGAGTGAATAGTAGGTAATGAGGAAAAAGGGAACAGGATAGCACATTTTAGTCAGAAGAAATAGCACAAACAGGGGCTTAGAGACATGAAACCTTAAGATTATTCAAAGTCATAAATATTTGAAAAATGTAAGATAAACCATAACTAGCAATGGTGAAGATGCCCAGTCTAAGAGATAGAAAAATTTGGAAAAATGTAATAAAAATTAAATCGATGGATTGGCTGTTTTTTTTTCACACAAACATACATTTTTATATACACAACTATTACAGAAATATTGCTCTCAAGTTACCAAATACAAATAGTATTTTTAGTAGATTCCATCTATACAAAGTTATGCTCTCTATATCTGATATAGAATGTTTCTTTATATATTTCTGCAATACTTATGTTCTTTCTTTGTTTCTCAAATTTCTATTATATGTAGGTCAGATTCCCTGAATTTCTCCTTGTCTATCACCAGTTTTGTTTTTGATGCTTCTGTTCTCAGTTCAGAAGAAGTTCTTCAGTTTATCTTTTACTTCTCTGGCACAATCTTCAATCTGTTAATTCCATTGCATTTAAAAGTTACTAATTATGTGCTTCAGCACATAAAGATTGTATGTGTGTGCATGTGTGTACATGCTTTCAAGAGAAAGCTTTCATTCACCAATATGGATAATGCAATAGATAATGAATGTTCAGAAGCAGAAAGTCCATTTAGGTGCCTGCCTTCTAGTGAAGATACAAGTTAACTAGGAAGAAATTCCAAAAACAGAGCAGCATAGGCATCTATCGTATTTCTTTTTAAATTCCTTAATAAAATATTTAAGACATTGTACTACCAGATAAAAATGTGCTCCCCTAGTGGAAATCCATGATGATAACTGATTATATAACAAAACTTGAAGAAATTACTATATATATATATATTTTTTTTTTAAGAAAGCCTTTGTACATTAAAGGCTCCCCACACACCCTTCCAGGAGGAGAAAGATGTTAAGAGGGTATGAGTAGACTATCACTGGGACAGGCTCAGGAATCACTGGGATCAGAATACTTCTGTTTGTTGATTACAAGGTAGGAACACAATGAACACAATGGTGAATCCCTCAGATATGCCCCAGAAATAGTCACCTCTAGAAAAGACTAGGGTTTGCATCAATATCTATGGCACCTAGATCCTAGTTGAGTTTACCCATCTTAATGTTTCTTATCACTTATCTTAATCTGACAGGTCATCTCTTCCTAGGTGCTGCTGCTGTTGCTATTGCTATTGTTGTTTATCCCTTTTTGTCCTGGATCTGAACTTGGAAGACCGTTCCTAAAAGTAGTAATTAGGTATCCAGAACAATCTTAGTCAGTGGGACTGACCTGAATTCCTATTTGACTGGATTTCCATTCATAAATAGAGTTTACAAAGTAAAGACAAAGAACCTATAAAAGCATCCTGTGAATCAAAAGAAGATGGCAGATTTTCTGAATACTACTAAGGACTTCATTTAGCATATGCACAATCCTATTAAAAGAAAAAGTAAACAAGTAAATAAGCAAAAATGTATTATCATCCTTCCTGTGTCAAGAGAGTACTCCATTTATACAGCCATAGAAAACTGCAATGAAGATAGGTAATTAAATGTAAGGAAGGATCAAAGAGAGTTGAAGGATATAATTAGTAACTTTTAAATGCAATGGAATTAACAGATTGAAGATTGTGCCAAAGAAGTAAAAGATAAACTGAAGAACATCTTCTGAACTGAGAATAGTAGCATCAAAAACAAAACTGGTGATAGACAAGGAGAAATTCAGGGAATCTGACCTACATATAATAGAAATTTGAGAAACAAAGAAAGAACATAAGTATTGCAGAAATACACAAAGAAACGTTCTATATCAGATATAGAGAGCATAACTTGATATAGATGGAATCTACTAAAAATACTATTTGTATTTGGTACCTTGAAAGCAATGCTTCTGTAACAGATGTGTATATATAAACATATGTGTGTGTGAAAAAAAACAGTTTAATACCAAGAATTATTAAAACACTTAAGCATAATAAAAATGTCAAAAAATGTCCATTTTTAACAAGTAATCACAAAAGATCATGAAATCCAATCTCTATTGCTGAAGAGGTGAATGTACTTTTTAGTAAATTATTGACTGTTAGATACTATATCTATATGATGAGAAATATTAACATGAGATGTCAATCAATATTACTCTCATGGTAAGATATTATATATTAGAGAACTTTTATCTAAAGTCGACCATTCAAACCACTATTTTTCTGTATTTTTATGATAATCCTAAAAACTAAAATAAAGACAAAGAACTAAAACTCAATAAACTAATTTAAATATAAATATGAAAAAAGAGGGACAACTTACTCCTTTAGGCTTTGCAAATATAAGGGTTTCCTTAAAAATTCAACAGATCCAAAAATAAGTAGGTAATTAATCAATAGGATCAATGTGTTGGCTGAGTACAATACAAATACAAAAAGAATCAGTACATTTCATATACAATAGTAATAGACACTTAAGAAATATAATTTTTAAAAAGATTTTTACAATCATACCAGAACATTTGCAGATCTAAGGAAAAACCTTGAAAATAATTTTTCTACACTTATGTAACAAAATTGCATGCTCCATACAGGGATATAAAATAGCAGTTGTTTAAGTGGAAGAAGTTAACATCTTCATAAATAGGAAGACTTAATAATAAATAATACCAATCTCATCTAAATTAAATTCTGTAATTTACACAGTTCAAAAAAACCTAGAATTTAAATTTTTTAACAATTTGGAAATATTTTAAACTTTATCTGGAATAACAAATCAATGAAGGGAGAAAATTTGATTTCGTATAATATGCTGAGAATTTCTCTACAAGATATTTATTTTTCAAATGTAACCATATTGCAATTTAATGATGTGTTATTATGGTCTTGCACTGTATGGTTTCTCCCACTCTCTCCCAACTGTGTCTTGCCATTTACCTACTTACTCCTTACCCACTGGGTTGTCAGTTCCTCACATACCACCAGCTCTTTTCTACGTGCAAATTCTTCTGCTTGGCACAATGTTAACCACACTTTTCATGGCTTGCAGCATATAGTGCCTTAGATTGTTATTTTAATATACTCTTTTAAGAGGCTCAGACATCTCTACCTGGTTTCAGACTCATGGTTCATTTCCTTTTACATATCTTTATGTTGCTTGAATACTGCAAGACTTCTCTAAGCCACAGGAATAACGTCATATTCACAGTAATTGAAAAACCACAGGAAAATATTTGGTGGCTTCAATAGTGCACAGGCCACACAAGGCTTTAATAGCTCTTCCTCAGGCTCCCTGTGCAGCTCTATTTACTGCTATGCACCTTCGTGATATGGGGAACTGACTCCAGAACTTGCTGTCTCAGAGAAATCTTTTAAAAGAAAGTGCACAGTCTCTATTCCTAAAGCAGTGGTCCTATTTACTCTCCTTTGATTTATGCCACTTGGGATAGAGATTTTAACAACTTATGGGGCAAGACTCTTCAAAGAGCCCTAGCCATTCAACTTTAATTTTTTCCTATGTCTATTTTCTGCCTCCTGCTAGTAGGATCTAAATCTAGTCTGAGAAGTTATATGGACACAACAATCTTCCTAAAGCCTCCTGTTTCCAACTTAGAAAAAATTTTCATGTTCAAAACAAAAATTGATGTCTTTGCCTTATGATCTCAACTTTATAACTTTTCTTGGGAAAACCATAGTCTGGCCAAGTAGGAAGTCAAGTACAACAAATTCGACAAAACACAGAAAAACAAAACACAGGAATTGAGGAAACACAATTGTTGAAATTTCACTTTGTCTGCCTGACCACACCTCTTTCCATCTTTTTCTAGTGTATCATTTTGTACTTTAAGTTCCTTTAGGGATGTGAATTTATCCTTTCATTTTCACCTCCTTAAGCCCAAGATAATCTGTAGCACACAGTAGGTGAGGTGAGCAATAATGTATGAAAAGGATGTTATTTAACAAATAGTCTTAAAGAAAATAACATTATTTGAAAAAACAAATAAAGTCTCATATTATTAAAATAGTTTCTCTCTCTGGATAAATAAGTGATAGATTAGATAGACAAAGAGGTAGCTAGATAGATATGTATCGTGTGTGTGTATGTATGTGCACACGATGGAACTTTAAATCTCCTACCTAACAAACTTAGGAAATTTTAATAATCCTTGTATAAAACTGGAGTGGAAAAGTCTACAAAATATAAAAATTGAATTTACTAAAATAATAGACCTGATTATATAAACTATGTTTCCGCAAATTAAAACACCATGCACAAAATTTAAAATAAGTAAATGTGTAAAATATAATAGACAATGAACAATCACTATTCTTAGTAAATAAAAAAGTATTTTACAAATCAAAAGTAATTTATTTCCACTTTGAGCTTAAGTATTAAGCCTATTAACTCACTCATTTCCCTTCACAAATTCCACTGAGAAAAAAAGAAAATTTCAAAACAAAGTCATGATCAAAAAACGAAACAGTTCAGATAGACAAAGGCAAACATTGGTGGTTCTCTGGAAAGCACAGAGTAAATAACATCTGATTGAAGGGAAAATTCAGCAGAGCTCAGAAACTCCTGCCTTGGTGGCAACAGAGGAAATTTTAAGATAATTTAATAGACAGGTGTTACCAATAGATTTGTAGAAGAAACCCTGAGCTCTGAGAAAGCAGGGTTCTGGTAACAAATCTGCCATATTTGTTGTTGAAAGTCTCCGGTTTTTCTAGGTGAAAAGGGCCTACTAATTGCTAGACAAATTTTTTTTAAAGAAGAAACAATAACAGATGCATCCTCATAAAACTTCTGAACTAAAAAGATAAAACCTTTGAAAGCTTTCTGAAAGAAAAAGCAGCTATCTTACAACACAAAAAATCTAAGATTAACAATAAATTTGTCAGTAAGAAATATTTGAAAACCATGGAATAATTTCTTAGAGTTCTGGAAAAAGATGATTTTAAACAAAAATTATATTCAGTCAAATTATCACTTAGTTGATTATGCAAGTGTGAACTCAGGTATAAACTTAATTAAAGAAATTTATCTTTGAGAACCATTACTTTGGCTTTTTAAAAAGATTAATAAGATAAACTTCTGAAAAACAAAAGAGCACTAAAAATATGGAAAAATATGAGGCAGGTAAAGAGAACTTAAAAAATAAGATTATAGACAAATTATACCAACATATTGTTGCTACCTAAGAACATTAAAATAAATGTAATCCAAGTGGAGAGAAAAAATTTTAATGGGCTTACATCTATAAATGGAATTAAAACTATTATTAGAGATCTATTCAGTCAAAAGTACCAGATTTTACATCAGGCTTATACCAGAACTTATAGAATTGAAAGTGGTTACCAAGGGCTGGAAGAGGGAAAATGGATAATTGTTCAATTTTTATGAAACTTCAGCTATACAAGACGAATAAGTCCTAGGGATCAACTGTATATAGCACAGCACCTAGAGTTAACAATATTGTATTATGTACTAACAAATTTGTTAAAATGTGAGATCGCATGTTCAGTGTTTTAACACAAAAAAAAAAGAAAAAGAAAAAAGGTATGCAAGGAAACTTTTGAAAGTGGTAGATATGTCTATTACCTTGATTGCGGTGGTTGTTTCATGTGTGTGTATGCATATGTCAAAACTCATCAAATTTTATATATTAGATGTGTATAGTTTTTAAAAGACCAGTTATACCTCAATAAACCTGTGTTTTTAAAAGTAGTTGTGTGTTTATTCTATTTGTCTTTCTTTAATTTGAGGCAATTTGTATCCTGTTTCAAGGATTTGAAATAAAAATGTGGCATATAGATTTAGTAAAGACAAGGTTTTAAAAATAGGTCCATTTACATTCCCACCCCCCCACCCAGGTGAATCTAGAATTGAGAATTATAAATTTGTTCTTTTTGTTTAGTTTTGTTTTTGTTTTTGAGACGGAGTCTCACTCTGTAGCCCAGGCTGGAGTGCAGTGGAGCGATCTCGGCTCACTGAAAGCCCCGCTTCCCAGGTTCACGCCATTCTCCTGCCTCAGCTTCCCGAGTAGCTGGGACTACAGGCACCCGCCACCACACCCGGCTAATTTTTTTTTTTTTTTTTTTTTTTTTTGATTTTTAGTAAAGACGGTGTTTCACCGTGTTAGCCAGGATGGTCTCTATCTCCTGTCCTCATGATCCGCCCTCCTTGGCCTCCCAAAGTGCTGGCATTACAGGCCTCCCAAAGTACTGGCATTACAGGCATGAGCCACCGTGCCCGGCCATAAATTTGTTCTTTAAGTATTATTTTCCCAGAAGCACATTTCTTATATTCTAAAAGGCAAAAGAAAACAATTATTTATTTATTTATTTATTTTTGAGACGGATTCTCTCTATCGCCAGGCTGTAGTGCAGTGGTGCCATCTTGGCTCACTGCAACCTCTGCCTCCCGGGTTCAAGTGATTCTCCTGCCTCAGCCTCCCAAGTAGCTGAGACTACAGGTGCCCGCCACCAGGCCCAGGTAATTTTTGTGTTTTTAATAGAGACGGGGTTCCACCATGTTGGCCAGGATGGTCTCAATCTCTTGACCTCGTGATCCGCCCGCCTCGGCCTCCCAAAGTGCTGGGGTTACAGGCATGAGCCACCGTGCCCGGCCAAGAAAACAAAATTTTAAAGTGCCAGTTGTAAGTACTTATGTGATAACCAACAACAGAATAAAATGTTACAAAAATAATTGCAACTCTAAAGAAAAATGCACACATTTTGAGTAAACATTAGTTTCAGTATAAACTATATCAGGTTATTACCAATGTATTAAAGAGCAAAATATTCATATCTAAGTGATATGGACTACTTATAAAATATGACTATTGTTAAAATCATGTTTTTCTACAAATAATTGTATTCTATGACTACAGAAAAGTTTTAAGATGCATATCCTTTATTCATTTAACATATAAGTATCATTGTTCTATGCTAGATATTTAATGATAATCAAAAACTAATACCATCTGTTTTGGTGGAAGTGGCAGTCTATTTGTAGAGTAATTATTAGTATGTATGCATGTAAACAAATGTAAAATTGCAAATAACATGAGTTTGGAAATGAAAAGTTATGCATACGCAAAATAACTAAAATAGAAGGATCAAACCTAACCTGGGGAGAAATGATCCTGTGGCAATTAAATCCTAACTGTGATCTAAAGAGAAACCCAAGAGCTTTTGCAACACACACAGTCCTCAGTACACAGCACTGAATAAAGACGAATACATTTAGTTGCTTCAATAAATGAATCAGTCAGAGAAATATATTACCCCGACACCATTTATGTATTGACACAAAGAGAAAAAGCTAATATTTGTATGGCATATGAACGAAGGGACAAGAATGGGTGCATCTGAAGCAACTAACCCATGGGCCCTTCCAGGTGCTGGGCAGTCACCTTGAAGACTAGGGATCCAGTTCACATCAAGTGAAAAGGTCTGGACTAGAATGCAAACTCCTCAAGAAAAGTAGCCTTTCCAGTTTTTTTTCCTATTCACAGCTGTATCTTCACAGTGCTTCCTTTTCTAGCATAAATAATTCCCTGAGATTACACATTCCATTACGGTGCACGTTAGGAACTTACCTAAAGTGCTCCTTTTCTTATTTGATTGGTGAAATCATATATTTGAAATAAACAAATTTCTTTCAAAATTTAATGTTTTAAATCCTTAAAAAGGGATATTGGCATTCAATTTCAGCCAGTGCACATGAAGTTCATTTTCAGAATCCAAATTTATTGTGTCTAATGAAGGTAAGGTACGAGAGACAATATAGAAAAGTATAAAACATGGTTCTTGCTTTTGATGTGGTTGTGTAATAAATCATAAATATGCATGCCACTTTTAAGCAAAATTAAATAATACAATAGATTAAACATATTCAATTTAAGAATAAGTGCTGGATAAGTGGCTTATAAATAATAAATCACCTGAGTTGAAAAGGGAACACATCACACTGAAGGCTAAAATGATTTGAGGAAAATCCCTACAGCTTATAATGGTGAAGGGAAGAATGGATCCGAAGCGACTAAAGCATGTTAGGAGTAGAAAGGACAATAGAAACGAAGGAAAATTTTATGATTATCTGAAAGTCTAAATGCACATTCAAAAAATTATAAGCATCAGTACCATTCAAAAACCAAGGAAATTAGAAAAATAAACAAACTTAAATAAATATAACCTATTGGCTATTCCACATACCCACAACTTATTTAGTAACATTTCTATACTAGAACAAAATCAACCATATGCATTGAAAGCAATGAATCCTATGATAAATTCTAGAATTTTAATTCAGGAATTATGAGATGCTTTATAAAGTCACATAAACAAGAAGTTCTCATGTTTAGATTTTTGCCAAATGCAAGATATGTGTTTTAATATGCTTAGTTTTTTTTTTAATGCAAGAAGAAAAGGGTAGTATCCCGCCTCCCACCCACCCCAGCCAAGTAATTTAAGATGTTTTGCTATCACCTTCATTGTTTATCTTAAAGTTATAGACATGTTTTCTACATCCAGACATCCAGTCTCTCCAGAAATACACAGCCACAGCAAAGACTCTCATACAGAAATGTCTTTCTTAGGGATGATGATTCTAGAGGAAAATTTTGAACTTCAATTTGCCATGAAATTGTATCACATTATGGTTAATGACACATTAATTTCACATTTTCTGTCACATTTTCTTTAGAATCTCAGCAATGTTTAAAACCAAGTGAATTTTCTAGATGAGAAATGCACTGCAATGTACTTTAAAAAAAAGAACACCTAGAAAATATAAGTACATGGGTGTCTACCGTTTATCCTCTCTGCTAAATAAGAGTAAGTATTCAATCCTCCAAACATTTAATGTTAGCTCAATCATTAGTGGAAATGCACTAGACTACTACAATATTTTTGTTAATTTGTTTAAATAAAACAAAAATATTTTTTAAAAATCTTACTTCCTTTTCATGGCACATGGCTTTTTAAAGCAAAATTTAACTTACAGAAACTAAATCTATTAAGATAATACTTGCATTTATTTGTGATTTTACATAATTTCTTTCTGGCTAATGTTTTCCAGAAAATTTCTTTGGATAGTTGCTGTTGGAACATGAGTTCTTGCTAGAGTGAGATGACCCTAACTCTCTATTGACCTGGATGAAATAGAAGTATTCACAATTCTCAAGACTATGTAGATTCCAAGACCAAACAGAATTTTTCACAGTATTTAAAGAAAAAAAAAAAAAGCTCTCTCTAGTGCCTACTAAACACTTCAAAGGATCCTGCGAGGGTCCAATGGGATCTCATCCTCCTTGTTTGAATTATTTTAGAATTGGGAACCATGAACATAGCCTTACATGAGAGAGAGATAAATAATGCACATTTTTATTTTCAGAATTTTACATTTAGTGTGATTCCCTTACATTCTCTATTTCTTTGCAGGATTAAAATCAACATGGGAGGTATAAAAATATGTTTTAGCAGCAAACACTCTTTCCTTAGGAATCAAGAAAGCAGAGTACAACCCGGAGAGCCTTAAACCAGGACTTTGCTCCACCCTGACACGAGGTAGGGATGTTTCCTGGATTTTCTCTTTTCGCATTTCCTCATATGGAAATTGAGAAATAAGGGACATATGTTCTGTCTATTTTTTTAATAATTATTGTGAGAATCATGAAAGGGAATATTTTGGGAGAAAAACTTTGTAAACTGCAAGGTACTGAATAAATCTTTAAGCTATAATTTCTTAAAATGCAAATCTCAAAAATCACTGATAGTGATGAAAAAAAAAAGTTGGTGAATTGCCACCTCCTGACAATGTGGTAATATGCTCAATACAAGCACATCTCATCCTGTAGGTGAATCCTTGGTACTTTCTAAGTTTAGTCTATTCTCCTCTTTTTAAATAAATTCAGCAGTCTGTGCTATTATACTAACTATATTCTTTGCAGTACGGAACTTAAAAAAAATCCGCACATAAAAATACACAAGCTTTTCAAATCTCACACAGAAATTAGATTTGGACTGCAGCTCTGAGACCTATTACTCAATATTTATTAAGATAGACATGTGATTTAAAACTAAGATGAGGACAGAAAATGCAATCATTATCCATCTATTTGGCATGTCTGTGAAAAGCTATTATGACCTGTTTCATTACACCTTTTCATTATGCTATTTACTGTGCTAATTGAGACTGTAATGTTGGAGATACAGAAAGGATTCCTTAAACACATAGCATATACAAGAATAAATAAGACAGTGCACTTAAGGACTTACTTTTATGCTATAGTACAGAATTACTCATGAAAGCTCACAAAGTAAAGACAGATGATTGTCATTTAAGAATAGAGAAGGGTGACAAGTATGTCTCCTTTATGCATTTGATCACTTCATTAACAAATTGCCAATCAAGTCAGAATCACTCCTCAAAACCAAAGCCTTCACCTATCAGAAATGTAACTAGGATCACCTTGAGTTGGAACTGCCTAAGAGACTCCTTTGTTCCCTCCATACTGCTATACTTGCCCTTGATGTCAGAAACATTTTTCAAAACATGAAGCCTTTATTTCATAATTTTAGTTGTGGCTCAATGTGCATTTTTTTATTTTTATAAAAAAAAACTTTGCAAATTAACTTGATTAAATTTCTCAAAAACAATTCAAAACTTATAAAATAAAACAGAAATAATACTTTTAATTTATGTCAATGGAATATGACAACAGCTTTTTTAGGTGAACATTTAATGTGTACAAGTTTTGCTGACAAAGGTATTTCCTCCTTAAAAGTTACATTTCATGGTAATGGATTTTTAAATAGGTGATTAATGTTTTTGACAAGCCTGAAATTTCTGGAAATGTTCTCTCATTCATTGGAACAAAACGATTTAGCATGAATCTTTGGGTCATGATATTCAGAAGTCTTCAAAAAAAATCTGAAGCAAGTTTTTCAACTCTTATTTTTAGATGAAGTAAATATGCTTAGGTTAAACTTAACTGGCTGCATTCAGCATTCTACAGAAGGAGTGAAATATTATTTGTGACTTTAACTCTTGCTTAATGGTTTACAAAATATAATACGAATTTCAAGATTTCACTTCAAAATACAGACACTTCATGCTTTCAGAAGGAGAGTTATGTAATAATCAAATATGTCTCTTCATACTTTTAGAAGAGTTATGTAATAATCAAAATTGGAGAGCAGTGAGATATTTTGCAGTTTGAAAACTGGCTAATCATGTCAGTTACTTGAAATGAAGTACTTAGCAAAGAAGTCTAATAAAGCTTTACATGTTAACAATTCATAAGTCTGTAGTGGACATGTAGCGGCTGCTAACATTTTAACTTTAAATACACAGTGAGCTCAGATTTAAGATTTATTTTGCATGAGAGGAAAATAATAAATATTCAACCTGTAAATGTTTTAAATACCTGATTTGGATCTTGTTACCACATCAAATAAAGCAGCTCAAGCTTAATTCTTATATAGCCAAAAAAATATAAAAATTTAAACACACACACACACAGACACACACACACTCTACAATGTTTCTGTTCAACAGCTGACTGAAAATATAAAACGAAGTTCTGAATTTTGTTTCTAAAGCAATCCAAAAGCATTTAAATATCTACAAATGTTTCTTGAATAATGTGTTAATCTTATCAAATTTAATTTTTAAGAAATTTAGCATTGTCAGTCTAAATCAAGGGGTAGATATTGGGATTTGTTCTTTTCAGTGATTTATATTCATTTGACAATTAATCATGGATACCTCAGTGCATTTCTTTGGAATCATATCATATAGCCAACATAAAATTAATATTTTTCTCATAAGGAATCATCTGAAAAAATCCCCTTGCGTGGATTTTATCCCATGCTGTTAAATGCATGAATAAATAATGAGGTTCCTTTGATGTAAGTCAGGATTCTGAGGGGAGTGCCTGTGGTATCGCAGAGACAAGTTCCAGGCACACAAATTATTCTTCCTCAAAAAGTAAAACCCCAGATTTTTTCAGTTGGGAACACTTGGGGGCCACATGTTTAGTCTCTGCATGGCCTGCTGCTGTGTTTTTTGTGACTCCATCATAAATGATCATCCCTCCACACCTCTCACTCATTACCAACGCAGGTGTGCAGGCAGCAGTGGAAGAGGTGAGGAACAGTCTTCTCCCACAAGTAAGTGTCTCCCACATCCAGGAGTTTCTTGTCTTTATCACTAGATATGGGGCTTAGGTTTGCCAATATGAGTTCCTTTTAATACTCATGCTTCTTTTCAATGACTGTTATGTTATTCGTTTTTGAATACCATGCATTATTCCAACATTTCTCTGTTTGCTATGGGCATAGGAGTAGCTTCAGTTTCTTTTAAGTATATACTTTTATGAACTACACAACGAGAATCACAACTTATCCCGCCTTCTTCCTCCTCTACTCCTGCACCAGCTACGTACCTTGCTGCTTTTTGTCCACCTGAATTTTCTCCATCTCCTACTCCTCCCACTTCTATTACTACTGCAGCATTCTGGGTACCTTTAGGTTGCTTTACACAGAGCAGCCTAAGCACTACACATATTTTCAATCATTTGGTAAATCTTCTTCTTCTGTCCATTTTAGAGATTAAAGGAATAAGATCAACAAGTATAATTAATTTGGCCTTGAGACCATGTAGAGCTAGAACTTGAATACACGTCAGTCCAAAGATTTAGTAGAATTAAATTCTTCTTACTCTGCTATAAGAAACACTGTCCACCCTGTGAAGAATAAGCCCTCCGTTCTAAACTACATTTCCTTCTATAATCTGTACTCCACTTCTTATAAACTTTTATTTCTCTATTTTTTTCATTCCTGATTCCACACTTTATGACATGTCTTATCAATCTTCCCTCCAAGGCACTCAGCACTTCATAGCATTAAATAATCTTCACATCCAAAGAACACCATACGCACTTGAAAATGTACATAGAAATATCCTTGAAAATAACTTGCTTATTTTTGTTACACACTTTTTGGCACAAATGGGTAGGTTTATGAACTAATATTCTACCTGCTTTATTGTTTTATTTTGAAAACCATAAACTTCCAGGGACTTCGTGTTTACCTTGGTTACATCACTGTCTAGTCAATACTAGGACACTTAGGTATAATTTAAGATTAAGAGAAAATATAAATGAAAGGTTTAGTGGGTCCTTGCTCTTCTGTCCTACAAGTAGTAGCTTATTCCCTTTCTAGAACATTATAAGGCAAATTCTAATTTAAAATGTATAAAGTTCATATAAATTCACTCACAAAATATGTTATGAATGTGGCAATTTGCTAAGGTTAAAGATAAATATAACTGAAGGAAAATTAATATAAAAACACACATTTTTGAAGTCAATTTATTTAGTACTTCACTTTCAAAAGATTCTAATTTATTTGCATTCTCTACAGTATCAACAAACATCCTAAATATTAATATTCTTTGACCAAAATGTTAATGTTACCTTTTTCAAATACCTTAAGATATTTTTACCATTTAACACATTTTCCTTATAGATTATTCATATACATTTTTGTCATTTATATTCATATATTTGAAGGTAGGCAGAGGAAGATATAATCAACATTAAAAGGTAATTTAAATTCAAAGGAATTACATCACTTTTCTAGTGCCTAAGAGTGGTAGAACCAAGAGTAGAGACTGCAATGCAGACTTTTTAAGAAAAGTTACTCTAAATTGATATGTCAGTGATGGATATTTTCACAAATTATTGCAGACTTTTGGGTGGCTCACAATTTCCTTTGCCATCCTCAGTTATGTCAGTATAGTTCTTCTCTAATTTGGCTTGTAATTTAAATATGCAAATTTCCATAAGAAATGCTCCACAAATATAATTCTATAAGCACAATCAAAACCGAGATTGAGTGCTTATTCTATGTGTAACATGACCATGACAGGCATTATGGATGTTAACCAAAAATCATAAAATTCACCTGTTTTGTATCTATGCAAAATTGTTTTATGTATTTTATACACATTCCTTCCCAGTTGCTAGATCAGTTATTCTATTTTTATTATAATAGATCAAACTGAGATAAATATGAAAAATGAAGAGAAACAACATTTTTTCAAAACTGCATGTAGCATATTTTATTTTATTGGTTAAGTTTTTCATGATTTTATTAAAATTATCACTGTTCTAAAGATTAATATAATATACCTACATATTTACACACTGGAACATTTATATTCATAGAATAAATATTTGGTGGTGGAATTGATGTAGGAAATATTTGAAAATATCGCAAGTGTTCTTTTTTAATACCTTAAGATGTTTGCATAAATGTTTCTAGAATTAATTCTATAAGCCTTTAACCAAAAAGCTCAATTCACATGCCAACAGTAGGCAATTAGATCATACAAATATGTAAAGTGGGCAAGGACATAACAACAGGGATATGGCACAAATTGACGAGTGACTACTCCTACCTTACAGATCAATGAAGTCTGTTTGAAGGCCTGTGGGCCACAAATAGAGGCTTTTACTGAAGACAGTCTAAAAGCAATTAGTGTGGCACTCATTTGCTAGTTCAAGAGGCTCTCTAGTGACCTTGGGGACATACCTGGCATTATTCTAGCAGGTTTAAATTCTTTACCTGGATACACACAGCGACATACCACAACATTTTAGGTAGCATTTTTTTAAACTGAACATGGCTTAAACTATGCACATTTATTGTCTCACATGACAAAAATCCAGAAAAGAGGTAAGTCCATGGTTGATTAATTCAGAAGATCACCAGTGTCAGGGATCTCAATCAGCTGCTCTGCACATCTCTTGGTGTCCCCATATGTTTGCAAGTTGTACATCAATACTGCAAGCATCATGTCTCCAAGGCAGTAAGGAAAATGGGGGCCAAGGTGGGGGGGGGGGGCATTTCTTTACATCTCTCTTTTATTAATTCTCTGGCAAAATTCCCTGACTTCTTATTAAACTGAATTGGGTCAGATGTTCAACTCCAAATTAATCTTTAATAAAAGAGAAAGGAATTTCCATGGTTTTCACAGAGCAAAAAGTCCTAGAGTGCATAGGGCTCACTTTCTCTTAGCACATCCTCATCAGTTTCCTAACAAAACCAGATTGTATTAGCAAGAAAATAGGAAGAATCTGTTAGAGGCACAATTGAAAGAGCCAACCAGTCTGTTCCCAAAAGAAGCTTATTTCGTCACAGACATTTTTCTTCAAATTTCTTCAGTATTTTTCCCAATTTTACATAAATTTTGCATCTTTCAGTGAGTAATTCTAAAAACTCTCATTTTTTCCCATTTCTATTAGGTGAAAATGGCTATATTCCTTATAAAATAACCAAATTTGGCTCACTCTCTGAACCTCATAGAACTGAGAAGTAGAGGAGCTAATTTAGTAATTATGTCAAATGTATTATCCAGAATAGCCCACAGCTAAACCAGAGAAATGAAGACCTATGCCCAATCAGACTCATTAACAGAGGGGTGCTTTGAAGCTCACTATAGAACACCGTTAAGGCTCTTAACCATACCAGAACACCTAAAAGTCTGAAACAAACAAACAAAAAATGTTCCAGGATTGTCTCCTATATATGAAAAGAAGTTAACCTTAAATACCAATAGGATTCTAGAGTTGAGCAAACCTTGAAAATATACTGAATCAACTTCAGACAGAAGGATTCCATACAAATATCATTTTTTTCCCAAATCACCACAGCACTGAATTTTCTGGCACTATATCTGTCCTTCTCAAACTAAAAGCCAGGACCCACTGAAGGAACAATTTTATTTCAATATTACAAATTTAAATATGTTACCTAACCAGATAAAAGTTTCACAGTTTAGAAAAGGAGAAGATGAAGGAAAAAAGAAAGCCATGGCTGGCTCGAGATTGAGTTCAGATGCAAAAAACTCCTTGTATCAGATATAGCAGAACACATAGCATCTTACACAACAGTGTATGTATGTATGTACGAATGATATTGTGATTCTCTCACATTTTTTTCTCATTGGAGTAGTTGATGGTTTTACATGCAAACCTTATGAGTCACTTCAAAAGCAAGAAACTTTGTGATTTTTCTGCATTAAAGTTTATTTTAAAGAATAATTATGTAAAAATCACACTGCTCTTGCATTTTCAGTACCCAGATGGAAGATTTAATAATAATATGATAGTTTCTATCATTAAATTCCATATTGTGAACCACTGATCATTACATAGGCCTATGGCATATTGTGATTTTCACTTATGTGGGAAATAAAGGTCAAGTTTTAAAAAGTTAATTTATATGTCTTTTAAGAATTTAACAAAAGCATTCTTTGAATTTGAAAATATTGATGATATATTTCAATGAAATCATGAAACCATTTCTTTGGTAAAATCTAATACCTTCCTACTTGCTATAGTCTCACTTTTTCTTCCTTCAACCTGGAATTATGTTTCAGAAATTTGCAGATTGACATGTATTATAAATCAAACTTCATGTACTAACAAAATGACAAGGCACGTATATCATAACCCAGAATTATTGAGATTTAGACAAATAATATTTATACTTAAGGAGGAGCTAATTCATAGGACTACATGTCATTGAAAATAGGATTAACCATGAAGATTGAGAGAAGGTGGATGTAATGGCACCAATCCATGGAAAATCCAAAAGGGTGATCATAATGAAGAAAGAACTGCTGGGTGAAAATTAGAGTCATTGCTCTAAGGATATGCCCTGCAATGAGAAAGAAAATGTCATGCTGGGAATTACACTAACTCATATAAGTTTTCAAGAGAGTTTAATGGAATTTTTAACTAAAAATATTCTCATTTTACAAGGTAATTCACAAATAAAATATAATTCAAATAAGAGAATTTTGGTTTAAGGGCAATTTTGTTAACTAAGAAAGTAAGAATTCATGTGACTGTTAGTGATGGATATGGAGACTTTTTGGGAAAGTATGATTCTTCTTACTCCTTAAAAAACTCTTCATTTGCTAAAATTAACATAGTATATGACTTTTTTACATGTCCGGTAAGTTAGCATAGGTGTTATATATGCTTTAATAGAATAAGTTATATGTGTATCACTGTGAAAACAGACTCCTGTACGCAAAAATGTAGCTGTTGACAGTCTGGTAAAGGTGTGAACAAACCAGCAGGGAGATTCTCCCAATTGAAAATATATTGAGATTAATTTTTTAAAATATTCATTGCTTCTCAATGTCATATTAGGCACTGTGACTGAGAGGAGAGTCTGCACAGTTTTTATCACATATGCCTTGACTTCAAGAAAGTATATGCAAGACATGCTCCTCAAGGAAAGATATGGAAAGTTGAACAATTAAAGATGACAAACAATTAAATATAAAATAAATGCTTTAGATCACAATTATCCTGTGATGAGAGGGTTTCTCAAAGGTGATCTACAGAATACTTACTAGTTCTGCCAGACACTGAAAAAGTGTTTTGATTAAACACAACTATAAAATTTGTCATCTCATACTTCACTCTTAACTTTCACATTAACACACGACATTTCTCAATCTCAGAACTCATATATTAACCAAGCCTGTTTAACCTTAATGGAATATTTTCCAAATTGACTTAATGATAAAACACCCAGCATCTACTAACATTTTGTGTAAATACTTTTATTTTCTACACAATTAGGAGATGCCACTAGAGCTGAGAAGTGAACTAAGACCTTGTAGATCAGTCTTAGTCAGGCATCACTGTGGAGGTGGAACTTCAGCTGAGTCTTGAGGCAGCAAATAATTTTTGTGTTTGCAGACAGAGGCAAATTTGGAGAATGTTATAGGCAGACGGAAAAGAAACCTAACATTTCAATGTGGAGTTTCAAGGAAACCTTAGAGCTCATCACTCAATCTTTTCTTTGAACACTATTAGTAATTGGAAAATTACTACTTTGTTTCAGAAATTAATAATGATC